>NW_025791790.1:0-196262 GCF_000001405.40 Homo sapiens | reverse complement strand
GAATTCATACTCCTCCTTCCCACTACCTGAGGCTTTGGACATTTGAATGATGGTGGCGGTGGGTGGGAGGGGGAGGAAAGGAATCTGAGAGTGGACATGCAGGGGTCAAGCCCCAAAGCCATCTCAGAGCAGGGCACAATGAGGGTTTCCAGGACGCCCCTCCCAAAGGCTGGGAAATGTCTCCTCTGGAATCCAAGCTCCAGAGCCTCTTGTTGGTCCTCAACTTGTTATTAGGGCCTGAGGTGCTTCATGATGCCAAGAAAAGAGGAACACAGCAGGGCCTAGAACCAGCAGGACTGGGGCCTCTCTGGTTTCTCCTGTTGGCTCCTGCCTAGGAGCAGCTGCCTCCCTGTCTGCTGTTGTAGACACGTGCCCTCAGCATCTCCAGCCCAGACTGACAGCTCCGAGGTTAGCGTTACAGGCTCAACCCCAGACGGAGAGGCTCTGTCTATGTTGATTTCTATTTATCCCATCTAGTCCAAAGATCCCAGGGAAGGGATTCATTGACCCAGCTCAGCCAGGGACTCATTCCTCAGCCAGTCAGCTGGGGCCGGAAGCACAAGTCCCCAACTGCAAGGGCAACACGTGGAGGGAACGGGAAGGAGCAACTCTTGCTAAAGGGACGCTAGGCAGACAACTTCATAAATGTCAATCATAAGCCAATCTTAAAGGCATTCACTCATTCCTGCACTCATCCATTCATTCATTCATTCATTCCCTCAACAAACCTTTATTGAGCACCTACAGAGTCCAGGTACCACTCTAAGTGCTAGGCTTACTGAAATGAACAGGACAGATGAACTTCTTGCTCTAGTGGAGCTTACACGCTAATAGGAAGATAAACCAATAAACGAGAAAGTGACCAGGATGTGAAAAATGCTCTGCAGAACAGAGAAATCAGGCAATGGACTTTGGAAAGTGCTCAAAGACCCTGCGCTGCCACTTGCAGGGCAAGGGGCCACCTAGGTCAGGAGCGGCCTGCCTTGGAGAGACATGCATCACCCCAGCCACTGCCCATTGGCCAGAGCAAGTCACAAGGCCCCAGCCTAGCCACAAGGGAAGCTGGGAAATGTGACTTTTGTGTGTCCAGGAAGAGGAAATGGGATTGGCAAGCACATGGCCAGTCATGGCTGTCCCACTTAGCCATCTGGTTCCCTAAGAGGTCAACACTGCAACCAGGTCCTGATGTGTCCTTCCAGTGAGATCTTTTGGATACATAAGAAAAAAATAGATGTAATTATGTAATTTTAAAAACCATAAATGGGCTGGGCATGGTGGCTCATACCTGTAATCCTAGCACTTTGGGAAGCTGAGGTGGGTGGATCACTGGAGGTCAAGAGTTCAAGACCGTACTGGCCAACATGGTGAAACCCTGTCTCTACTAAAAATACAAAAAAGTAGCTGGGCGTGGTGGCACATGCCTGTAGTCCCAGCTACTCGGGAAGCTGAGGCAGGAGAATCGCTTGAACCTGGGAGGCAGAGGTTGCAGTGAGCCATTGCACTCCAGCCTGGGCAAGAGAGTGAGACTCTGTCTCAAAAAATACCCATAAATGGTGGTATACTAACACACCATTCTGTTCCTTGCTCTTTTTTCCCCCCACTTAAGACTATATCACAGACAACATTGGAGGATTTGGATCTGGGCAAGAATGTGCCCCAGTTTATGTGTTACAAAACTCACCCTGGCTAGCGGGAGAGAGTGGACTGGGGTGGGGACGGTGGGTCAGGACTGTTGCAGCTGCTGCAGTTGACGGCTGTAGCTCTTTGTCCGTGTGCAGCCTGTGCTCCAGCCAAGTCCACCCACACGCTCATTCATTCAGTGCTTGACAGTCAATAATCGTGGGCAGACCCTGGGCCACATGAGTCAGGCTCTGTCCCTCTTCCCACTCACTGTGCCCCGAGCCATACTGCTGCACACTTTGCCAGGGCACAGGCCACCTTCTGCCATCCAGGCTCCTCTGCCACTGACTCCTCCAAATTCTTCCAGACATGTCTCCAACGTCACCTCCTCATCAAAGCCTCTCCTGATCCCCACAGCACCACGTCGATGGTGTGGAAAGAGGGACCTGGACTGGAGGTGTCTCAGCCCCAGCCCTTCCCATTGGCACTTCCTGGAGAAACAGCTTAGTCTTTCAGAGCCTCAGTTTGCCCATCTGTGCGCTGGACGTGATTGGTATCTGTTTAACACATTGCCTGTGTGGATTACGTGGGAAAGGCTGTGGAGAGACCTGGCATCTGAGTGGCAGGAGACATTTGTCATTTCCCTTCTTTCGCCTTGGGGCCCACCATGTTCTCTGCCTCTCTGAGGTTACTTCTAAGGCTTCCAGTACCCTCCGTGAGGGTGACCCTGTGTCCTGGGCTTGGTATGTTGCCAGGCATCAGGCCTGGGAGTCAGTCTCAGTGTCTACTCAGCGATTTTGTTGAAACTGAGAGTCCACCACCCAGCTTAAGACGTAGAACATTGTTGGCACCTGTGAATCTACTTGCACAAGCCTTGGTGATCCTGTCCTCTTCCCTGACCAGGCAGCCCCTACCCTGAATAGCATCTCATTTATTCCCTTGTTTTTAAAAAGCAGTTGATAGCATGTCTATGAGCCCTACCTGAATAGTCTGTTTAGTTTTGCTTGGTTTTTATGACAATAGTGTCACACAGGAGGCATTTTTTTGTGACTTGCTTTTTCTTTTGCTCCACATTACAACTCTAAGCATCATCCTTGTTGCTGGGTGTACCTGTAGTTCATTCCTTTGCAATGTTAGGTAATGTTCCACCCGGGACTATGCCACAATTTATTTATCCATTCTTCAGTCAAAGGACAACTCCCTCTCCCGATTTTGGTTGTTACAAAAAGCGCTGCTATCAGCCTTGTCATATACGCAGGCTTGGGCACAGGCACTAGGCTATGCTAGTGGGGTTGCTGTGTCAAAGCTCACGTATCTTCAGCTTTTCAGAGATTGCCAAATTTCCAAAACAGTCGAATAAGCCTCTTTCTAGCTTTGTGTAAAGATCCCCGGTGCTCACCCACTTCCTCACCAACCCTTGGGATAGTCACATTTCTGAGTTTTGTCCATCTAGTGAGCACAAAATCTCATCTTATGGTCTCACTTTGTGTTTTCTTGGTCACAGCTGAGGTTGAGCATCTCTGCGAACGTCTCTTTGCCCTTCTTGTGGGCCTCTTTTGTGACATGCCTGACCATTGTTCTCCCTCATTTTTGTATTGGGTTGTTTTTTGAAATTGACTTGTAGGAGTTTTTATGCATCCTGGATACTAGCCCTTTGTCACTCACAGGTGTAAGGAATATTATCTCCCAGTTTGAGACTTCCTTTTTACTGTCTTTTGATGAATGTTATGATCTTAATTTTAACCTGGTAGAATGAATCAGTCTTCTCCTTTACTGTTTGCATGTTTGAAGACTTGTTTTAAGAAATGCTTTGTTTGTTGAGTCAGATTGAATAGCTGGACCCAAGGAGGACACCCCCTACCCAACCTCAGAAAAGGCAGAGCCCACAGCAGACCCTCAGGCACTCGGTGTAGCTGACAGCTGAGAGATTGATTAAAAACTGGAGTGAGGCAAGAGAATGAAGGAGAGAGGCCGAGTGCTTTGAATTTGATCCTTTTAGCGACAATTAAGCAATCACCACACCACGGATGGGCAGAGAAAAAGGCTTCCTGAGAAACCGACACAGGCTGTGGCAGAGGCTGCCCTTGGCCTCACCTTGGACCCAGGGCTGTGGGGCTCCTGCACCACCCCTCCCCACTCCTCCCCTTCAGTTTTTATTGCAACATTTCATTGAGACAAGTGCTTCCCCCAGGGGTAAACTAGAGAGCCAGAGGACCATCTGAGAATGTACAGGGTGAAATCACTGAGGCCTGACCGAGCGGCATTCATCATCATCATCATCATCATCATTGGCACTGATTGGGGAGTAGAGAGAGTGAATCCAGAGGAAATCCATTTTTTTTTTTCTGTTTTCTTTTAAGAGGCAGGGTCTCACTCTATTGCCCAGGCTGCAGTGCAAGTTTCACTGCACCCTCGGCCTCCTGGGCTCAAGAGATCTTCCTGGCTCAACCTCCCAAGTAGCTGGGACTACAGGCATGTGCCACCATGCCAGGCTAATTTTAAAAAGTTTCTTTTTTGTAGAGACAGGGGTCTCACTAGGTAACACTTAGTCTCAAAATGGATGCCAAGGCAACATAAAATTTTTGAACTCCTGGCCTCAAGCGACCCTCTCACCTTGGCCTCCCAAAGTGCTGAGATTACAGGCATGAATCACTGCACCCAGCCAGGATGGGGCTAGGAGTGAAAGGGTCAGTGAACTTGAATAGGCAAAAGTTTATGTCCTTATTTTCATTAATCTCTGGCTGAAATGTAGCATTACTTTCAGTTATAAATGTAGAGGACAAACCAAACAATGTTAGCAATGCCTGTGACTCGTCACCCATAGAAATCACAGAGAGTTTTACATCCTATTACTTTGCTTGTAGATATTTTGAAATATCCACTTAAAAATTATGATTGTTATATAATTCTACTAGATCCTTGTTATTCAATGTTTTAATGAAGAAGCACGCATCATAATTTTTAAAAGGATTT
This sequence comes from Homo sapiens, assembly GCF_000001405.40. Classification (NCBI taxonomy): domain Eukaryota; kingdom Metazoa; phylum Chordata; class Mammalia; order Primates; family Hominidae; genus Homo; species Homo sapiens. The sequence goes on along the minus strand of NW_025791790.1, from coordinate 191,669 downwards.
GATAATCGTATTAACAAATAATTAGGTTCCCTGGTAATCCTACCTGGTTTATTTTATGCATTTAAAAACATTATTTTCCAGTCTGGGTAACATAGGTAGACACCATATCTACGAAAAATAAAATAAAATAAAATAAAATAAAATAAATCAAAAAATTAGCTGGGTGTGGTGGTGCGTACCTGTGCTCCCAGCCACTCAGGAGGCTGAGGTGGGAGGATCACTCGAGTGTGGGAGGTGGAGGCTGCAGTGAGTGGTGACTGCACCTCTGCACTCCAGCCTGGGTGACAGAGAGAGACCTTGTCTCAAAATAATAATAATTATTATATAATAAAATAAAAATAAATAAAAATATTGTTCTGAGGAGGGCTCTATAGATTTCCTCAGGTGACCGAAGAGTCCATGAAACAGGAAGGTTAAGAATTGGACTCAAGGGAGAGCCCTCTTCCTACAGGGAAGACACACCAACTCTTGTGATCTTAGACTAGCTCCAGGTATGGTGGAGGATGGAGGAGATGGTCTGCGACAGTGCCCTGCAGCTATGCAGGGAGTGACTGCTGTTCCTTGTTGCTGGGCAGTCCCTGTGGATGAACGGGATCTTTGCCCTTCGCGTGAGAAGGACGCAGTGCCCAAACAGCTTGCTCTGGCGGAATTAGTGGTCTCTGACTCGTGGCTGGCCTGGGTGCCTGCCTCCTCTAGGTAGGTCGAAGCTCCTTCAGGGCCGGCCAGCCCTTGTCCATGTTCTAGGGGAAGGGTGGCTGCAGTCCCCTAGGGAGTGGTGCCATGGGCCCACATGGAGTCGGGGTGCGGGGACGGAGTGCACTCAGAGCTCCAAGCCCTTAGGAATCCCGTCCCCCCTGCTAGCTCCTCTTTACACACACCCACCCTGTTTTCCCTTCACATTGGGCTTCGTGCCATTCCCCAACATGCCCAGCGTTATTCGGTTTCTGGAACTTCCTTCACCTCTCCCACCTGCCTGGGTGTCAATCAGGATAGACATAGCAAAGCTTGGGAGCAAATGACCCCCAGATTCCATCGCGGGCTGGCAGCAACACTGTTCCTGTTGTCTTTGTTCGGGCCTGGGGCTGACAGAGTAGCCTCCACCTGCAACCTTCCCTGTCTCCTGGCAAAGGGACAGAATATACTGACCAGGCAGAGTGTCACTGCCCTCATGTCTCATCAGGCAGAGTCACGTGGCCACACCCGAGTCCAGCAGAGCAGGAGTGCGATGTGGTTCTCTCTGAGGGAGGGGCCACAGCCCTGAGGTGCCCCACCCTCATCTCCCCAACCGTGTCAGGGTGATTCTGTCCCCATTGAAGATTCACCCAGGCCCCACTGGCCCTGGTCTCCTCAGTAGGTGCTTGTCTCCCCTCCCTGCTACTCTTGTGTTTGGGGTGGGCACCCGGATCAGCTTCGATCTAGCTTGCACTGGACCTTCCGTGTTGGCAGTGACTCATTACACCCACATGTCCCCCTTGGAGTTCAGCCACGATGTGTCGCTCACGATGTTGCGAAGGGAAGCAACTGCCGATGAAGGCCCTGGAGGGCTTGGAAACCACGTGCCTTGAGTGATGGCACTTGGTTGGAGAATCAAAGAAGGATGTTTTGTTGCCTAACTTGAAAGGAGCTAACTGACCTATATCAGGCATCAGGATTAAAGACCTGTGTGACCCAAGGGCAGACAGACCCTTCCACTCTGCCATGGACTTCTTTCTGTTTCTGGGTTTGTTGTTGTTGTTGTTTTGAGACAGGGTCGTTCCATCTCCCCACTGCGAGTGCAATGGTGCAGTCACAGCTCACTGCAGCCTCAGCGTCCTGGGCTCTAGCGATCCTCCTGCCTCAGCCTTCTGAGTAGCTAGGACCATAGGCACATGCTACCATGCCCAGCTAATTTATTTTATTTTGTTTTATTTTTCATAGCGGGTCCCATCATGCCATCCAAGCTGGTCTCACCATGTTGCCCACCACACTGTTCTCAAAGTTTTGGGCTCAAGCGATCCTCCTGCCTTGGCCTCCCAACATGCTGGGATTTATAGGCTTGAGCCTCCATGCCCAGCCTGGACTTTCTGATGAAGCCAGGCTTGGGTTGTGGGAATTATGGGGAATGTGCTGACAGGAATGACTACACAAAGCTTCAGCCAAAGTGCAGCTCCTTTTGAAGGAGCCTGAGCTCCTTCAGGAGCAATGTGGTTCTCTCTGAGGGAGGGACCACAGCCCTGAGGTGTGCCACCCTCATCTCCCCATCCGTGTCAGGGCGATTCTGCCTGCTTTGAAGAACTGCTTCCTTCTCTGACCTTTCTGTGTAAGGTCGGCTGTTAGAGCACCAGCTGGAGGTTTTGGGGGGAATAGTCAGTGCCCAGTCATCCTTTGGTGAATTAACTGCATTGGGCAAAATTAAGTGCATTCATGAAAGAAAAAACCTACTAGCAATCAGCAAAAACATATGCATATTTAAATAATATATTGCTTGGAAATGTCAAGTAACCATCTTGGGACTAGTGTCAGGGCATGTACCTCCCCTTTCCCAAGCTGCTGTGGCCAACCAAGGCCCCCCCAATGATGTGCGGCTCCTCCTGAGAACCAGTTGTTAAATTTGCAGGGATTTTGTGGGCCAGTTGTTAAGCACAGCCATTATTAAGAGTTAAATAACAGGCTGGGTGCAGTGGCTCGTGTCTGTAATCCCAGCACTTTGGGAGGTTGAGGCGGGCGGATCATGAGGTCAGGAGTTTGAGACCAGCCCAGCCAACATGGTGAAACTCCGTCTCTACTAAAAATACAAAAATTAGCTGGGCATGTTGGCACATGCCTGTAATCCCAGCTCCTTGGGAGGCTGACACAGGAGAATCGCTTGAACCCAGGAGGTGGAGATTGCAGTGAGCTGAGATTGCGCCACTGTACTCCAGCCTGGGTGACAGAGTGAGACTCCGTCTCAAAACAAAACAAACTCAGCATTTTCTAATTGTTTTTGTGCATCTGATCTGACTATTGTCGATGCACTTAAGCTTATTTGTGTCTGTTGCAGCTCTGGGATGGAAACGTAGTGGCGTGCGTCTCTTTACAACTCCGTATTCGGTGACATCATGTGGGTAGCTGAAAATCAGCCATGGTGGGGATATGTACACCTGGGAAGTCCACACATGTCCCTGTCTGGTCTGGGCACGAGGAGGCCTGAGTGGCAGGCTCTTGGGAACTGGGTGTGAGGGTGGAGGCACCAGGTGGGGCAGGAAGGAGGAGGAAGAGGCCAGCAGCAGCTGCTCTGTGGCTCCGTCCACCTGAGGACTAATGTTTGAAAACTGCAGAATTTGCAAAGAAACTCATAGCAATAATTATTCTAAAAGATACTGTTTTAAGTCATTTCTTTTATTATTTAGATTATTTTGGTTGCTTGTCAGTGTGACAGGCCATGCCTGAGCTGTCCATGTAAAGTTCCCAAGGGGCATAAATGGGAGACTGCAGTGCAGCCTCAGATGTGGGGGGACCACCCAGTGCCACGCGGCAAGAACTTAACACCCGGGTGTTGACGAGGCAGGGAAGAAAAGGGGCGCATCTGCAGCTCAGCGCCCCTCCAGCCTGGCTGGCGTCTCACACTACTCATGTCAGAGAACAATTCAGCGGGCTACACAGGAGCCATGGTCCACCCAGGAGCTTTCTTACAACCTCCTTCCCCTGTGCATTGCTTCCTTGATGCTTCTGCAGTAAATCAAATTAAAAGCAAACTTGAACCAAGTCCAGGTTGTCAATATCTCCCATTCTCGAACCTAGTCCAGATTCCTGGTACAGACATTAAGCATCTTATATGATGCCTCACATCCCTAAATTATCATATTTGCATCAAACTTTTAAGGATATACATCTAAAATACATTCTGAAATAGTGTTTATGATTCTAATTAAGATTACATTAAGCCCAGTTTTTAGAGTTTTAAGCATTGTATATGGAGTTAACAATTAAGAAAATAAAACTCATGTATTTTTAATTGCTCTTATATTTTGATGCTCTGTGGCATCCACTGAATCAATGGCTTGAGTACTTCAGGGAAGCGGTGGATTCTGCTACAATAATAAATTCGTTGTTCACTTTGACGATCAAATTAGGCTTTCCATTTTGTTTTGTCTTCTAGGCAAAACAATAGTCTTGAATGCCGGGTTTTGTTAAGAAAAAAAAAATTTTCTGAATTCCAAAGCTTCTTTCTAAATATAAGGAATCAATCCCGGCTGATTTTGAGCGTAGAGTTTTACTGTAAGCCATAAATAGAAGGAATTCTGGATACAATGGAAGTGAGTTCCTGGGAGACAGGAAGGCAGAGGAGAAAGCACTATGCTTTGCCTGGGAGAGGTTTGTTGGGGGTGAGACCAGCGGGAGGAAGCGGCCAAGAGCTGGAGGCTGCTTTGAGCGAAATCCCGAGGCAGAGGGGGGCGTCCAGGCGGACGGACCTGAGATGCTCCTTGTTGTCCACCCATGACACCTGCCTGTGTCCCACAGGAGTCCCAGGGGTGGGCCACAGAGGTGCTGAGGCAGGGAGGGGGTGAGGTGGTCACCCAAAACAGGGACCTGGGAACCAGGAGCAGTGGCACTTGTCTTGGGTACTGGGGGGCAGTCAGCTCAGTGGACAGAGACCAATGGGATGGGTCACTTAACTGGAGGCCAGAGGGGACGCAGAGGATGGCAGGTAGACCCAAAGCCCCTCACTCACCACCAACGTGAGGCCACATTAACTTCTTTTATGGCACTCAGCTGCCCCCAGTCTAGTCCCTGGTGGAGTCACATAAGAGAGTCTGTGCCAGGCTGGGGACCACAGTAGAAGGCATAGCTCCCCAGCTGCAGGAGCCCTCACAAGACCCCAGGGACAGAGAGGTCATAGGGGCTGCAGGATTAGGCCAGGTCACTGTCTCGGGGAGGAGTTGGGAAAGGGCTTGAAAGCCCCCTGTTACTTCTGTGCCCTGATGTCCCCAAATCCTCTGGCCCCCTGGCCTGAGTGTTTCCTTTAGCAAGCAAATGAAATGGCCCCAGCACCTTCCCAGCATCCGAGCACTGAGGAAAGTCAGGGCTCACCCAGCACTCCTGTGGGGAGAGGCGGGAGGTCCTTCTTCCATCCCCTCTCATCGGGTGCCCTGAAAGTCAGTATCACGAGGCTGTCAGTGGGAACAGACAGAACTGACCAGGAAACAAACTTCACGGTCAATGTTAGATTTCCTGTTTCTAGAAAATACATTGGCCATTTCCAGCTACAGAGACTCCCTTCCCAGGCTGCCCACTGGCTGGCCCCCGTCCTCCCCAGGGCTCTCTAGAAGAGACAGTGTGGGGTGACAGAGAGAGCTGGCTTTGCAACCGGACAGGCAGGAGTTCAAATCCCAGGCTCCCGTCTCACTGGCTATGTGGCCCTGTGTGACCCTGGGATCTTTCCTTCCTGAGTCTCAATTCATCCATCTGTAAAATGGGAGTCCTGAGGCCCTATCCATAGGTTTGTGAGTGGTGGGATAACTGATATAAGGAACTCGCACGTTCTTAGTACAGAATCAGCACTTGGTAAATGGCAGCAATTGCTGCTATTGGCTTCTGGCCCAATCCCTTGGGGGCACCTGTGCCAGGTGTCTGGGAGGACACTAATAAAGAGTGACTCAGCAGAGACAGCCACAGGATGGGCGGGAGGGAGCAAAGGAATGCTGGAGTCCCCCAAAGCAGCACAGTTGGGAGCAGTGGCGGTGGGTGTGTAGCAGTCGACCTGGGGCCCTTGGGGAGGGAGTGGAGTGACAGGATGCCAGCTGGACCTATGCCATGGCAGTATAGCCAACACGAGGGGCTGGTGCAGGAGCCGGCAGGACTGGGGCCTGCAGGGGCCAGGGTGGAGGGCTCCAGGCTTGTGCAGCCTGCAGGGTCAGGGTGGAGTCAGGCCAGGGCCACGTGGGCAGGCATGGGACTGGGGGAGGAGCTTATTCAATGGTGGACCTGGGTTTTCTGGTGGGTGAATGAAGGGGTGCACAGAAGGCCTCCCTCTCAATGTCCCACTCTCCAATCCTTTCTCCTAAGAGATGGATCTGGGCCATGAACTCCTGCTCCAAAAGGCCAGTCCTCTAGCAGAGCCACGTCTGTGAAGAGACCCAAGAGCACCATTGACATTTCTTTATTCCAGGGGTTCTCACACTTTGGCAAGAGTGTGAGATGTGCAGTTGCTGGGCCCTACCCAGAGTCTCTGGGTCAGTAGATCTGCCTTGGGGCCTGAGAATTTGCATTTCTATTAAGTGCCCAAGAGTTGTTAATGCTGCTGGTCAGGGACCACACTGGTCAGGGACTGAACTAGGCATTGGTGCAGTATCACCTGGGACCCTCGCAGAGTGCTCTATGGCAAATATTTCAAAAAAGCCCTTGCCGGCCGGGCGCGGTGGCTCACGCCTGTAATCCCAGCACTTTGGGAGGCCGAGGCGGGCGGATCACGAGGTCAGGAGATCGAGACCATCCCGGCTAAAACGGTGAAACCCCGTCTCTACTAAAAATACAAAAAATTAGCCGGGCGTAGTGGCGGGCGCCTGTAGTCCCAGCTACTTGGGAGGCTGAGGCAGGAGAATGGCGTGAACCCGGGAGGCGGAGCTTGCAGTGAGCAGAGATCCCGCCACTGCACTCCAGCCTGGGGGACAGAGCGAGACTCCGTCTCAAAAAAAAAAAAAGCCCTTGCCACAGAGCAGGTTCCCCCACCCCATGTCATAGTGAATGCCACTCAAGACCAAAGAGGGTAAGTAACCTACCCAAGGTCATTCAGCTGAATGGTGGCATAGTTATCATTTGTAATTAGGTCTCCTGGCTCCAAGTCCTCCACCCCGTCACCATGATAATGACCATTGTCAGCATCATCACCATCATCGTCATCATCATTACCACAGGCACTGTGAGCTCCCTGTGGGCTGTTTTGCAGCTTTGCCCCTGCCCAGGACCAGGGACCAGCCAGAGCTTCATAATTGTCAGCTGAGTGGAATCCCTTCTTGGGGCAAGTCAGTGAGAAAGACTTTCTCAGGCTGCAGTTGACAACCCTTGGCTGAGGCCCCCACTGTGAGCTGGGCAGGTTGGCCAGGGAATAAGGAGGAGGAGACTGCTTACTTAGCATCAGTCAAGGTTGAGGGGCCATGGGCCAAGGTGAGGTTCAGAGGTGACAGAAGGGAGGCAGAACTGCTCCCTGGTCATGTTACCTTCTCGAAACCCGCTGGGAGCTGCGAAGGCAATTGTCACTCTCCAGTCTGGCTTTGAGTGACGCACAGCTCCCAGGCCTCCTGTCCTGTCTGCCCGCTAGGCTGTTGTTGCCTGGGGGTACCAGACCAGAGCTGAGGGTTCTGAGAAGGAAATGCAATTTGCTGTTGGTGTACCAGGCCTTCTTCTGTGCTACCATGTACTGCTCAGTGGACTGAAGCCTTTGCTCATTAGCAGGGCCTCATCCCAGGCCAGTTCATCCTGGGCCTCTGGAGGGGCTGGGGAAATGCCTGGGCCCACCTGGGCCTGCTCTTGCCTCCCTGGGACCTTGCCTGCTGTGCAGAGGAAAAGGAGTGGGAGGAAGGAGGGCCCAGGGGGAGTCAACGGGAGCAGCTGGGGCTGCAGTTGTTTGGAAGTCCCCTGGCTCACCCAGACTTTTAGTCTAGCTAGGGTCCCCGGTCCTGACTGAATGAGCCCCTTCTCAGAAGAACCACAGGTGGCCAGGTGCAGTGGCTCATGCCTGTTAATACCAGCACTTTGGGAGGCCAAGGTGGGAGAATTGCTTGAGACTAGGAGTTCAAGACCAGCCTAGGCAGCATAGTGAGACTCTGTCTTTACAAATAATAATAATAATAATAATCAGCCAGATGTGGTGGTGTGTGCCTGCAGTCCCAGCTACTTAGGAGCCTAAGTTGGGAGGATCGCTTGAGCCCAGGAGGTTGAGGCTGCAGTGAGCCGTGATCACACCACTGCACTCCAGCCTAGGCAATAGAGAGGGAGACCCTGTCTCCAAATAAATAAATAAATAAATAAACAAATAAATAAAATAAAGATAGAAAGGAAAAGAAAAAGAAGAACCACAGGCTTTCCTAGAGCAGAGATAGGGCCCAGGGATAAAACTTGGAACTTTGGAGCCAGACAGCTTCGGGCCTCATTTGCTCTCGTGCCTTCAAGTTGTGATTTAACTTCTCTGGGTCTCAGTTTCAGCATCTGCAAAAGGGCTGTTACAAATATTCCCTGAAAGCATCTTCCTGGAGACAGAGCTCTGAGTTTGGGCCTGGCATGCAGCTCCACAGAGTCTGCTCAGCATTTTCTGCCAGCAGAGCCAGCCCTGCTGGTCCCAGGAGCAAGTGGGGTAGAGTCTGAGATCCTCTTCTTCTGCCAAGTGTTGGGGCTCTGGGGCTCTGGGGGTCTGTCCTGGGATCTCCTCTCTTCACCTGTACACAGGATCCAAGATCAGCTCCTCCACTCAATGGCTTCACAGTACCCCCTGCCCCAGCACTGATGATCCCTGAACCCACGTGATCCAGCCTTATCTGGACATCTCCACTTGCATGTCCCAGAGACACCCAGGTCATTTAGTGTCCCAAGGCGGGAACACCATCATCCTCGCCACTACCCCCGCTCCCGTCCTGTGCTGTCATCTCAGGGAATGGCCTGGCATCCAGCCTCGTCCTGCCTCTGCCCTCTCCCATGTTAAGCTTATTGAGTGTAGCTCACCTGGAAATGTGGAGATGGGAAATACGGTGGGGACTGTTCAGGTGTGGCCGTGGCTGAGACAGCACAGCTGCTGGAGCAGCCTGCCTGGACTGGAGTTGGCATCAATATAGGCCCCAGAGGATGCCACCTCCCCACCGCCCCCAGCAGTTCTCCCAACTCCATGCTTCTGGAACCCAAGGCACCTTGGGGGTGCACTCTCACCATTGTCCCCTTTTCTGCCTTTCTATCTGGGCCCCTTGTAGGTTGACAAGCAAGCGCCCCTTGTTTGGGAGAGAAACCTCCATCCACTGCAGAGAGAAACTGCAGGGACTGCCTCTCATCCACCCCGTCCCTGGGCTCCTGGTAAACATGCTGGCAGGCAGGGATTTCCCATGATGGAATTTCGCAATTGCCGTCCCATCCTTTTGGATGTATTCATTCCGGAAACATCCTCCCGGGGGCCCTCTGTCTAGGCCCTGGAAATGATTCAGACCCAGGCTCTGCCCTGGCCTCTTTCGTTGCTTAAAATATTCCAGTGGCTTCTCTTCCTTCCTCAGTTCCCATTTCAGCTCCCGGAGGAGGGTGACCCTTCACCCAGGCCTGTCACTGGCTTTGCTGGTGGGCTCACCCCTAGGTTTTCAGTTTTGGCCTCTGGCCCCAGTATCTCGTCAGGGCCCCTGTCCTCCCCTCCCCTCTGTGTGGCCTCCACAGCCAGCGGCTGCTGATGGCCCCAGCTCCCAGCGAGTGTCCTTGTTTTATCTCGCCTGTGAATGTGCCTCTTCAGAGCGTGTCACTGGGGCAGCCCAGTCAGGCCCTATGTTGGAGGCAAAATGGGCAGGGCCTTTGAACCGTGGACTTGGGGCATCTCTGGGTTGCTCTGAGCCTGCGCCCACCTCTGTCTCCATCTACAGACTCGGGAGCCACAGTCCAGGGTTTGCAAACTGAGGCCCCTTGAGCACACTTGAGAATGCCCCACCCCAACCCTGCAGTCCACTGCCCCCTCCCCCAGCACACACAGCCCACAGCCCCACTCCAACCCTGCAGTCCACTGCCCCCTCCCCCAGCACACACAGCCCGCAGCAGCCAAAAGAAGTCATTCTTCCTTTTAAAAGTAAAAATCTCCCCCAAGAGAGGCTTGTTAAGTGACCCGAAGGCATCCTTAGAAAAGGCTTTCAGGCATTTGAGGCTTCCATGTTTAAAGCAAATTCACAGAAAGTTGAGGTTGGTGAGGGGAGGCTGGGCCCCTTGTTTCCAAGAGCAGAGGGCTGTCCCGAGCACCTGGGGAGGGGCTTATGGGAACAGTGCACAGGAGGTTGGAGGAGAGATGGTGGGGACAACCCGGCAGCCATGGACCTTTATGAAGAGCAGACTCTAGCACTCCAGCTGGAGCTCGGCGTCTCTGCCACTGGCCTCCTACCACCTTGCCTCAGTCCTCCCTCACCCCCACCCCACCTTGCTGCCTCATGGGTCCATTTCCTGCCGCCCCCTGTGCCACCTGGCTTTGAGCTATCATCCTGAAACATGCTGCATCCTTCCCTGAGCATCTCACACATTCCCAGACCCAAGGAGGGCATCGGACTGGCCCCACCAGGTGCTGGGTGTCCGCTGAGCCTCTGATCCGCCCCTTCACAAGCACACAGCGTGGCCTCTGCGGGACCTCCCCACATCTGCCCCTTCGGTCTGTACTGGCGGGTCTGCAGGAAGCCTTTCATCTGAGGGCTTCCTTTGAACTTCACCAGCAGCTCTCACAGGGGCCGCATAAGCCAAACTCTTGGTAATCATTCAAGAGCCAGAGACCCCTGCCCTGTTTTTGGTGTCTGTGTGACCATGGCAAGTCACCGCCCTCTCTGAGTCTTGGTTTTTGCATCCACCACAAGGGCTCACATAAGACCTCCTCCATCAGGCTCTTCTGAGGATCAATGGAACTATGACGGCATGTTCAGCACCCTGCCCCAAGGACAAACTCTCTCCTTACTTGCCTCATTCTGCTCTGAGTCAGAGGAATGGCCCAAATGACCTTGGAGCTCTGTGGCGTCATCGCTTCTTGCAGCCTTCCCTGGAGAGCTGACTCTCAAGCGAGCATACCCAGCTGGAAGGCGGAAAGAATTTTAAGCACAAGGAGCCGAGGCCTGCACTTGAGCAAATGTCTTCTTCAGCCTACATTTTCTTCCGAACACCCCAAGCAACTATGGAAACCCAACCTGTGGAGAGTAAAGGGGCTTCAGAAGGGTTTTGTGTGTTTCTCTCCCTGTTGTCTTTGGAGCGCTGCTTCGTGCATCTCCAGGAGAGTTGATAACTGAATCAATAGCTGTTTTGCTCTAATTTATTGAGCTCTATTGCCTAAACCTAATTAGCATGTTTCTGAGCCATGAAGTGCTCTAAGTCCTGCACTTAGACGGGGAATCGATCCTGCAGCTGCCCTGGGCCGAGCCAATGTCAGGGAAAGGGATGGGGGTGGTGGCATCATTCCAGTAAAATTGAGAGCCAGACAGGAAGACACAGCCCAGGAGAGCAACATCCTGGTGCTTTCGCCACCCCGGGCCCCAGCCCTCAAGGTGGGGACCTTTCACCCCAAGTCCTGGCCCTCAAAATGGGAGACCATAGGGGTCTACATTGGAGAGCCAACCCCACTGCTTGGCAGCTGGGTGCTTGACTTTCTCTAAGCCTTTGTTTCCTTGGCTGGAATGAGGGTCTGGTGATGACACCATAGCAAGGGGTGGGGAAAGCATTCCTTAAGAAGACCCCACCAAGCCCACACCTTAGTCTTGTCTGATTGCTAAGAGGGGGCTCTCTAGGTCCAGCATAGAGTCCAAGTGACCTCACAGGAAGGTTTGTGGCTGGAGGAAGGGGAGGTCAAGTGATGATTGGTCAGTCAGAAGATCCTAGTGGTGGCTGGGCCAGGGGACTTCTAAGGACAGAGGTATTGAATGGTCCGATGTTTGTGTCTCACTGTGCTGTGCTGGATGTCACTTTCCACACCTGCTTTGAAAGTCTGCAGCGGGCAAGAATCACAACGTCCAGTCCTACAGGTCAGGCCAGTGTGGATGAGAGAGTGTGCTCACAGGAAGCAGAGGGTGACACACAGCAGGGCAGTCCCAGGAAGCAGAGACTTGGAGTTAAAGATAACTCAGAGGAACAAGCTGGCCCTGCAATAGGGGGCTGTGCTAAGGCCAAAGTCAGGGTGATGTCAGCAGGCTGCTTTAAAAAAAAATAATTGAGCCGGGCTAAGTGGCTCACACCTGTAATCCCAGCACTTAGGGAGGCTGAGGTGGGAGGATGACTTGAGGCCAGCAGTTCAAGACCAGTCTCTGCAACATAGTGAGACTGCCCCCAACTCTACAAAAATAAAAGAATTAGCCAGGCTCCTGTAGTCCCAGCTACTCAAGAAGCTGAGACAGGAGGTTCACTTGAGCCCAGGAGTTCGAGGTTGCAGTGAGCCATGATTGCACCACTCCTCTCCAGCCGGGAGTGGAGGCTATATATTTATTCTGAGACAGGGTCAAATAAATTGAGACATTTACATAACATAAAATTTACCATTTTAAAGTGTACAAGTCAGTGGGTTTTGGATATTCACTGTGTTGTGCAAGCATCACCATTGTCTAATTCAGAACATTTTCATCACCCCAAAGAGAAACCCTGTACCTATTAGCAGTTGCTCCTATTCCCCCTCCCCACAGCCCCTGGCAAGCACTAATCTGCTTTCTGTCTCTATGGATTTGCCTACTCCAGGCATTTCATATAAATGGAATCAAACAGTATGTGGTCTTTTGCATCTGGCTTCTTTCACTTAGCGTAATGTTTTCAAGGTTCATTCATGTCGTAGCATATATCAGTACTCTATTCTTTTTTATGGCTGAATAATGTTCTACTGTATGGAGAGAACACATTTGATCCATTCACCCGTGGATGGATGCTTGGGTTGTTTCTACTTTTTGGCTGTTGTGAACAGTGCTGCTGTGAACACTTGTGTCCACGTTACTGTGTAAACTTAGATTTTTGGTTCTCTTGGATATATACCTAGGAGTGGACTTGGGGGGCCATTTGATAATTCTATGTTTAACTTTTTGAGGAACTGCCAAACTTTTTAAGGCTGTTTTTGTAGCCCTGCCTCTGAGATACTGGGGGTACACGTGATTAGAAGAGGTAGTTACTCCCTTTTGAAAGAGGCTGCAATTAGGGAACATAGTGCCGAGAGACAGAGTTCACAGAGCCCTTGGTAAATTAGCCCAGATGGCATCATGCTGTCATGAAGCCACACACGGCATCAGAAGCAAAGGGGTCTCTTGCCTGGGATTTTGGTTAAAGCCCCCTTGTGGCCTGGACTTCTGAGTCTGGGTTCTGAGCCAAAGAGGCTTAAAGCACTGGTGATGGTGCAGAGTTAACCAACAACCTCCCCTCCCTTGTTTTGGATTTCTGTGGACAAATTAAAAACTCACTGTGCCCCACCCAGTCTGTTTGCAGCAGGAATGTGGGGCTGGCCTTGCTGGCTGAGGCTAGTGGGAGCAGAGAAGGGAGGGGCCGGGAGATAATGTTGGGGAGGCTCCCGAGGCCCCAGGGCCAAGCCTCCACCCAGCAGCTGGGGTGGATGACCCTCTCCTGTCTGCTCTGCCTTAGCTCTGCAGGGACAGTGCTGCTTGTCTGCACCGTCACTGGTGGGGGAGGGGTGCAGGATGGGAGGAAGGGGGATGAACACAGTGCCTGAGCCAAGGAGAATAAATCAGTGGATGAGCCTTCTTCCAGGCAGCCCTCTGGCCTCTTCCAGTCTCCGTGGCCCAGGCTCTTGTCCTCTGGTTGCCTCTTTGCTGCCTCTTTTCAGGACCTCGTTCCCCAGGGCCACTGTTTCCTCCAGGCCAATGAGGAGAGGAGACACTGTGAAGCAGACTCATCAGGAACCTGCTAGAACCAGATCAGGTGCCCCCGCTCTAGCCCCCAGAGGCCTGCAGCCCTCCACTCCCCACCCTAGCCCATCTCAGGGTCATGAACTGCAGGGGCAGACCCCAGCAGGCGTTCCCTCCTCAGTTCCCTGGGGACTGCGTCTCCACTTCCCCTCCGCGATGGGCTTGGCTGTCAGCCTGATGGATCTTTTTGGGGTCGACTGGTGGACGCAAACCCAGCAGTTCCCTGGGGGCCCTACGGGTGCCAGTGTGAGCTTTTTCTTTTTAAGTTCCTAGCATTTTATTTAAAGGAAATGTCTCAACAAAATTGTTAGTTATTAAATGATGCGGCCAGAGTAGGTAAAAGATTATTTGAACCAAAGATGAGTGAATGGCATTCCTTACTCCTAGCAAGAGTGAGTTTGAAGAGAAACATGATTAAAAGAATGGGATTCCCATGAGCCATGCCAAGCTGATTGAATTGTGGGGAGGAAATGACAATCTGGGTTAATTTTTAATGTCATTTCCAGGCAGTTAAAACCACTGAGGGAGCAATGAACTTTCTTCTGAATGCCTCCAAGAAGGGGACCAGGCAGTCTCTGTGAGGGCTGTGGGGCAGCTTTGTCTGAAGATGCAGATGGGCAGAAGTGTCCCTTTCTTACAGGACGTTAAGTTGGAGGTGGGAGCTGGGTAGGGGCATCCAGAGGAGCTTTTGAAAGTGAGTAAAGTCCTCCAGGAACACATTTTGGCTCCTCTCCAAGCCAGTAGCCACTTTGCTCCCAGGTAGGGCGACCACCTGTCCCTGTTGGCCCAGGACTGAGGGAGTTCTCGGGTTGCAAGAATTTCAGTTTTTCAACCAGGGCAGTCCTGGACAAACCGGGATGAATTGGTCATCCTAACCAGCAGCCTAGGACCCAGGACTTTCAGTGTCCAAAGTGAAAAAGTCTCAGGGAAAACTGGATGAATTGTTCATGCCCCAGTGTCAGGGCAGCTACTCATGATCACACTCAGCACTGAAGGTGGACAAGGGAGGAGAGGGGGCAGAGGAGGTGGAGAGCAGGAAAGGTGGGAAGGTGAATGTGGCCGAATGGTGAGAGGGAGTGTGTGCCGTCAAACAGGACCTGGTTGCATGAAGGGTGGCTCATCCGTGCGTTGGAGCCACAAGCGGCTGCAGAGAGGAATGCAGCAGTTCCACAGCTATGAAGCAATGTCCAAGTACCAGGTTGCAAAGAGGAAAAACCAAGGTGCAGAACAGCATATGGTATGTTCCTGTTGGGCAAAAAGTGGAAAGAATATGTTTGTCTGTGTTTGTCTACGCTAAGGCAAGACTGGGAACACTGGGTGAAGAACTGAGAGGCATTTCATTGTAAACCCTCCCTAGGGGGCGCCATCACCACCCTCGAGAACAGCAGGCTATGGCAGGTTTCTCAGCATCTAACGGGTGTGTCCTGCCCCACACGTGTGTGTCTTCTTTCCTTCAACTTTTAATCCTGAAAGTTCTCAAACCTACAGAGGAATTATAAGAATAGTGCAATCAACACTCATGTACCTCTAAAAATCTTCCTTTCTGCCCTCTTTCTGTAAATATCTTTTATTTTTAATATGATTATGGACTTCTAGGTCTATTTTAAAAATTCAGTTTATTGTAATAAATTACTACCATTATTCCTTTTTCCCCCTCCTATGGTCCCGGATTTGGCCAGTGGGAGCTCCTTCTTGCTGGCCTTTCTGTGTTTTTAGTATTGCCTCCTTGGTCTTTCAGCCCTTCTGCCACTATATGATGTTTCAGGTTTTATTTTACTTATTTAATTTAAATTTTTTTTGATGTTTCAGGTTTAATTTGGACTTTTCCTACCCTAGTCCTGGAATCAGCTATATCACCAAGGAGCCCATGTGCTTTTGGGTGGGGAATGGTATTTAGAAACCAAAACCTGGGCACTAGGTGTGCTCATTGTCACTGGAGTGTCATTGCTTCTAGGTCTTTCCAGAGAACAGAACTAAGCTGTTCTCAAAACCATGAGTACATACAGATGTACCCAGTAGCATGCATTTACCTCACCTTTCCCCATTCTATGTTTGCATCTCTCCTCTCCAAAGTCAAAACACTGGTCCCCACATCACATCTTTACTCATTTATTCAATCCTTCACTACACAAAAGAATAGTTTCAGAATTACAGCACCAATACTTCTATCCCCAACAAGCCTGCTAAATGAAGTTCAAGATTTCTTTGTGTTCTTTTTATCATTAGAAAATGTATATTAAAGATACACAGTTAG
Source organism: Homo sapiens (assembly GCF_000001405.40). Lineage (NCBI taxonomy): Eukaryota > Metazoa > Chordata > Mammalia > Primates > Hominidae > Homo > Homo sapiens. Next base: position 175,862 of record NW_025791790.1, on the reverse strand, counting down.
AGTACTACATCCAAAATTACTTGAATTAATGATTTTTTTGTGTGGCTATATTGTATCTCTACTACTCATATGATGGATAGTAAGGTTTATTTGTTTCTATTTATGTCAAATATAGGGTTTGCTCTTTAAAAACCCTTTGGATTTAAATTGATTTTCGGGTATATAAAGCACTCCAAGTCAAAACTGTATAAAAAGATATAAAAACTATAAAAAGACATCATAAGATGTCTCACCATCATCCCCATCCCTTTCACTCTGCCCCCTCCATTTTGTTAGTTTCTAGTGTATGGCTGTTGTGTTTGTTTTTGCAAAACTAAACATAAATATATATGTATATTTCCCCACTCCTTTTTAACACAAAACATAGAATACTCTCTTTATGTAGTCTTTTGTATTTTGCTTGTTTTTCTTAACATGTCCTAGAAATTGCTCCATGTCTATTGATAGGGCTTTTCTTCATTTATTTCTATGACTGCATAGAATTTCATTGAGTGAATCTACCATATTGTATTTTCAACTTGTCTATGAATGATCATTTATGTTGTTTCCACTATTTTGCAATCACAATTCAGCCTACGATAATAACCTTTCACATTGTTGGTTTGTATTTGTAGGTAGATTCCTAGATATGGGGTTGCTGGATCAAAGTATAAATCTATAATACATGCAGCTATGGCTTCCATAAAAGTAGTGCCAGTGGAAAGACTTTTTCCATAGTGAGTTAGAAGGAAATTCACCACTGCCTTGGGAGCTGTAATAGAGGGTCCCATGAGGAGGCAGGGGAGGTCCCATGAGACTCAGCCCTGGCACTGGATAAATCCTGACATTAACTCATTTGTAGCCTCCAGTCATAGACTTCCTGGAACACCCCCCCAAAGGTTGCAGGGAAGTGAGAGAGGCTCATTGCCGACCGCCCCCCCAATAACGCCATGGTCCTATCAGTGTCTACATTTTACTCATGCTTTTTCTTTCTCCACAAAAGCCTGCTGTGCCCCAGCTTCCAACCAGTGGCTTTCATAATTTATGATTATTTTGGACAAAAATAAAGCTTCAGTCTATGCTGTCCTTAAATCTGACTTTCTTAGAAACCTCAGATGATCTTTTCCAATTCAGTTGAATCTTGTAACCCAAAAAAACCTCCTAGTCCAGAGCACATTTTGTTCATGAGGGAGAGAAAAATGACCCCTTTGTGTCTGCCTGGAGATGGCCCCAAGTTGGGACTGGAGCCAGCTATGTCTTTGCCCAGGGCCAAGGCCTCAAATAGAGGGTCCCCTGGCCCCACCCTGCTGGGGGCAGTTCCACCCAGATTCTGGGAAGCTGGGGACCTGCCCTGTATGCATGGAGAGACTGGATCATATCGCACTATACAAACAGAAGCGATGTATGCAGAAGAAAGAGGTCTGCAGAGGCTACTATCAGAATGTGAGCAGTATTATCTGGGGGTAGGGGTTTTTCACAAGAGATTTTTCTTTACATTTCTTGTCAGTTATTATTGCTTGAAAATGATCGTGTTTCACCGGTGTCATTTGAAAACATTTTATTTTAAAATATTAGCTAAAAGATCATTTGGCTTCTCCTAGCCCATATGTACATTGAGATAGAAAAGCAAAGCCAGATCCATTCAGAAGCAGCAAGTTTCCACCATGCCTGAGTTCAAGTTGAATACTAAGTTGGGCTGCCTCCTACCAACACCAGGGTATATCTTTTCATACCCTGTCAGCTCTGTCACCATCAGCAACAAAACTTCTTTATGCATTTACCATGTGTCTGGAGCTGTGCTAGAGGTGACCATGATGTAGCTACTGTCCTTAAGATGGTGGCAGCTGAGTGTCAGGTACAGACATACCCAAGTCATTGCTGAGTGTAAAGAGAGAACTGCCTTAGAGGAGGAAAAGAGAGTTTTGTTCAAGATAAGGATGAGGGCAAATGATTACCAGGGAAGACTTCCCAGAGGAGGGATGCCCTACTGAATTTTGAAAGAGTAAGAGGAAGGCCAGGCATGGTGGCTCATGCCTGTAATCCCAGCACTCTGGAAGGCTAAGGCAGGTGGATCATTTGAGCTCGAGACCAGCCTGGCCAACATGGCGAAACTCCATCTCTACTAAAAATACAAAAATCAGCCAGACGTAGTGGCATGTGCCTGTAGTCCCAGCTAGCGGGGAGACTGAGGCAGAAGAATCGCTTGAACCCAGGAGGTGAAGGTTGTAGTGAGCCGAGACTGTGCCACTGCACTCCAGTCTGGGTGACAGAGCGAAACTCTGTCTCAAAAAAATAAAAAAAGAAAGAGTAAGGGGAGTTTCTAAGGCGAGAAAGAGGACCAGAGTGGGTTTTCCAGGCAGTGTGGAAATGCAGGCATGTGAGATGCAGAGGATGTGGAGTAGGAGGGTCATGGGTCATGCTGGACCCACAGCATGGCCATTGTGACTTCATCCTGTAAGGGATGAAGAGGAAGTCAAGATTTAAAATAGAGGCAAGCCATGATCAGGTATGTATTTTACAAAAAAAGAAAAACATACACACCTTTGCAGCAGGGTAGAAATGGATTAGGGGTGAGGGATTGGGACCAGAGGCAGGGAGATGAACTGACAGTCATCCAGGTGGGAAGTGACAAGGTCTTCATCTGAGGAGGTGCCCACAGGGCTGATGAGGAGCCATTCTGGAAGTCTGTATGGTCTGGTGACCAACAGGATAGGAGAGTGAGGCAGGGGACAGGCCAGGCGGCTTATGCTACGCCAAAGGTCCGTGAGGACAAGGGCCACGCTGTATTTGGAGCCTAGCACAGTGCCTAGCATGTGAAAGGAACTCAGTGAATATTGGTATATAAGCTGCAAAAAACTGGGCTGTCGTCCAGGCCAGCCTTAGCACAATGTTGCATTCAAAGACTAGCACAACATCCAAAAATAATTGAAAGCAAATTGAAACTTTCCTGTAGTCTCTCAAGAAAATGTAAAGGGGAACATTCTTAACATCCAGCAAAACCTGAAAAATCCTTTTTTTTTTGTTATCACTGCCTGCTTCTCCCTCCCCTACCTCTCATTTTCTCATATTCCTGATAGCCACCTCTAGCATCTCTCTCCTCTCTAGGTTTGTGAACTTTCTTCTTAGGGTCTGTTCTGTTTTTCCTTCCACCTTCACGTTTTAGATCAAGGATTTTGTTTTGTTTTGAAACAGTCTGGCTGTGTCACCGAGGCTGGAGTCCAGTGGTACGATCTCTGCTCCTGGGCTCAAGCTATCCTCCAGCCAGACGTGCACTACCATGCTTGGCTAATTTCTTCGTTTTTTTTTTTATTTTTTTTACTTTTTTTAGATGAGTTCTTCACTACGTAGATGAGTTCCTCACTAGTTAGCCTGGCTAATTTTTGTTCTTTTTTTTTTTTTTGAGATGGAGTCTCTTGCTCTGTTGCCCAGGTGGGAGTGCAGTGGTGTGATCTCGGCTCACTGCAATCTCCGTCTCCCAGATTCAAGTGATTCTTCTACCTTAGCCTCCCAAGTAGCTGGGACTACAGGTGTGCGCCACTATGCCCAGCTAATTTTTGTATTTTTAGTAGAGACGGTGTTTCACCATGTTGCCCAGTCTGGCCTCGAACTCCTAACCTCAAGTGATCCACCTGCCTCGGCCTCCCAAAGCGCTGGGATTACAGGCATGAGCCACCGCTCCCAGCCTAATGTTTGTATTTTTAGTAGAGACAGAGTTTCACCATGTTGGCCAGGCTCATCTCGAACTTCCAGGCTGAAGTGACTCACCCACCTCTGCCTCCCAAAGTGCTAAATTACAGGCATGAGCCACCATACCCAGCTTAGATCAAGGATGTTTTTAAAAATTTATTTATTTTACTTTTTTCTTTTTTTTTAACCTCTATGAGAATTATAGTTCTTTTCCCCACGTACATCTAGCTAGCCTCTGGCTTCTCTAGTTGAGCGCATATTTGCATGTGTTTTATCCTTTATCTCCGTTGTTATCCTAGAAACCCAAACACCAAGAAAAAGCAGGGAGAGGGGACGACTGCCTACACTTATACTTTAATACCATTTGTTTTGTTATGTGAATAAATAAGCTAATGTTTCCAGCAGATATTGGGAATATCCGTCCCTTGCACTTTGTGGCATTAACAGAGTAGAAAGTACTTTCACAAATATCATTCTGTGTAATTACGCAAAAACCCTGGGTAATGCTATTAGTGTTCTCATTTTACAAAAAAAAGAAAACTGAGGTGTTGAGAAGTGATGTGATTTGGAATTTGATAATTCATTGAGCAAGTACATGGGGACTTGTGGCTTATGTCTAGGACCCCCGAGTTCAGTGGGATGTCTTGAGTTTGAGGGCACATTCATGTGTTTTCTTTCCAGTCCTGCTGGGAGCAAGGAGATTCCAGGGACTGACTGATCAGAGGTGTGGAGTGACTTATTTAAGGTCACACAGCTAGTCAGAGGATTGCTATGAATCCAGTTTCTGACTCTTGATCCTGGGTTCTAAACTCCAGGGCTCTGTGCACTGTTCTTAGGCTGCTACCAGCCTGGGAGAGTGAAACAGGGAGCTCTCGGTGCCCTTGAATCTGATGGGCTGGTTAGAGTTCTTTGGCTGCAAGTAATAGAGACTGGGTCTGGCTATTGAAGCTATAAAAAAGAATGTACTAGAAAGATATGGGGCAGCTCGTATAATTACCAAAGAAGCTGATTAACCATGACTTGAAGAGGACAGGTTCCTGGGCTGAGGGCCTCAAGGAAGAGCTCATCCTTCAGAGCAAAAATAGGTGCTGCTCTGGCAGAATGAGAATGAGTGGATCCTGGGTAAGCACTGTATTAGTCTGTTTTCATACTGCTGATAAAGATATACCCAAGACTGGGCAATTTACAAAAGAAGGAGGTTTAATGGGTTCATAGTTCCATGTGGCTGGGGAGGCCTTACCCTCATGGTGGAAGGTGAAAGGCACATCTCACATGGCGGCAGACAAGAGAACAGAACTTGTTCAGGGAAACTCCTCTTTATTAAACCATCAGATCTCATGAGACTTATTCATTATCATGAGAATAACATGGGAAAGACCCAGCCCCATGATTCAATTACCTCCCACCAGGTCCCTCCCACAACATGTGGGAATTGTGGGAGCTACGATTTAAGATGAGATTTGGGTGGGGACACAGCCAAACCATATCAAGCAGAAACCACTGAATTCCACCTGAGGAGATGTCTTCTATCCCTCTGCAACCCCAGTACTGAATGCTGTCAAAGCCACTGTCATTTACTCAACATCCATTTCCCCCTTATTCCCTGATGGAAGAGCCCTGAATTTGTTCATCCTCATGGAAGGTGACCCTGTCCCCAGCTCAGAGGTAAGCCCAGATCCACTTAAACCAATTAAGGTAACTCCATTGTCCTTGCCTGTCATTGGTTTAGACTTCAGAGTGGTCATGAGATCTAGTTCTGTCCAATAAGAAGTGAGGAGAGGTTGGCTGAGGGGATTCTGAGAAGAAAGACCCACAAGAAGACATATTAACATCTTCCTCTTGACACTGAATGGCTCCAAAGCACACAGGGAGGGGCAGCTGCCATTTTGCTGACCTCCTGAGGTCAAGCTAACAGTGAAACTGGGCAGAGCCACAGAGATGGAGACAGAACTACCTCTGAAATGACTTGTTATTGAGTTAGGACTTTTGATTATTTGCAGCTGGATATACCTTAATGGATACAGAAACTTTCTTGGATAGAAGGGCAGATTTATTCTGCATTACTCCAGAGGGTGAAATTAAGACCAAAGAGAAAACAGCTATGAGAGGAAGAGCTGGCTGACATCTCTCTGAGACGAGGGAATGTGCTGTTTCTTCAGGTCCTGAGTTCCCATCAAAAGAGAATCTGAAACAAGCCGGCTGTCTGGGGTGCAGCAGAAGGGGTTTCTGCATCAACATCACCTTTAAAGTTCCTTCTGACCTTGAACTTCCAGGATTCTGTTGTCAGGAACCAGGATCTAGAATCAGCCGAGGCCTGCCTTCACCCCAGAGCATTCCACAGGATCAGGCTTTTCTATTTTCTACTCATCTGAGTCCACACTCTTTATTTCCTTGGTTTTAAATTCAGTTTCTCTAATTCTTCAAAAAACTTGAGCAAGCTCTGTGTGTTGCTATCTGTTCTTAGAGTCTTTGAGAAACATTTGATAAATATATATATATTATTTCTTTTTATCTCACTTCCTCTCTTTCCCTCTCTCTAAAATGCACACACAATCACACATGTATACACATGCACACAAACACAAATGATCCACAGGCAGGGATTCTAACTGGAAAACAGGAACCATCTCCGCTGGCCTCATATTCCTGTAACCCATGACTTCCCTGTATCATGGAGCTGTCCAGTAAGATGAGCTCTGGACTTGAAGTGATAAGTGATGTGGGTGTGAATTCCAGCCATGCCACCTCCTGGCCGGGTGGTCCTGGGCAACTCATTTGCTTTCTGGACCTCAGCTCAGAGTTCACCTAGTGAATTAGCCTCCCAGAGCTTGGCACATAGTAGGTGATTCATAAACGGCAATCAGAAGTCACAGGGCAATGCATTGAGGAGGCCTGGACATGGGCAGAGTGAAAGGGGAATGAGTGTGGGGCAAGGGTGAGCAGAGCTAGCGATGCTTCTCAGAAGGCAGGACATGGGTCTGAAAGAGACTGAAATCCATGTATCAAGGTACCTTCGCTGAAGGCTGTTAGGTACCTAGCATTAAGACATCCTTTCCAACCTCATCCTCTGCTTCTAAACCACCTATCCCACTTCTGTTGAGTGGATTTTAAATAATCATTTATTGATCCTGTTCTTGTTATAAAAGAAAAACATGTTACTTATTGAAAATGTTGTGGGGGTGGAGAAGTGGGAAGAAAAAAATAAGTCACTTGTCATCTTACTATGCAGAGGCTACTCCTATTGATATGTTAGTGCATTGCTTTCTAGTCTTTTAAATGCACAATTTTATATGCACATATCTCATAGGTAGAGAAGTAGATAGATGGGATTTGTATTTATCTGGATGTGGCCATTCTAATAGGTCGCTCAGTCTCTAATCAATAGCAGCTGACAATCCTTGGCTCTTTGGTGTTATCACTGTCCCTGCACATGTATGAACTCGTTTAATCTTCATCACATCCCTATGAAGTAGGTACAGTTATTATTCCCATTTTACAGGTGACCAAACCAAGGTACCAAGCAGTGCCCAAAGTCACAGAGCAAGAAATCAAACCCAGGCCAGTGCTCTTAACCCTGACCTCCGCTGCCTCTCTTTCTTCCTGGTTTCAGCCTGAAAGACATTCTGTCTCCAGGTGATTTTGCATTTGTCCAACCTCCTGCCGTGTGCGGATGATGAATGTAACTCTGGAGTGCCTCCCTCTCACTCTTTGCTGTTGAAGGGAAGGGCATTTGGAGGGAAGTCAGGTGACCTTGGGAGAGGGGCCTGGTTGTCTACACGGGTACACTCAGCGTCGCCCTACATGGACGGTTTCTGGTGTCTGGATTTTGATCATCAGCCCTGTCACTTGGACCTGGAGGGGTCAGCCCATGCGAGAGCTGCTTCTCCCTGGGAGACTCATGCTGTTAACCCAGCTCCTGGGACACAGGCAAAATCCGTAACACTAACGTGCCAATTCACAGAGAGAACTCCAGGAATCCTGAGGGGCCTCCTCCCATTTGCAGGTCATCCCCCATTTCCCCCAGCTAAGCCTACTGTGGCAGCGGTGGCTTGGTTACCAGTCTGAGCACCAGAGTGGTCAGAGTTCCAGGTCTCAAGCTTTTTTGCTGACCATCCTTAAACAAGTTATTGAACCTTTCCTGTGCCTCCATTTCCTAGCCTTTAACGTGAATATAATACTATTACCTGTCTCTAGGGTTGTTGGAAGATTAAGTGAATTAAACATAATCCACAATGAGTTACATACGCCATGGAGAAGGCCTAGAAGGATGCCTGGCATCTAGTAAGTGCTCAATATTAGCTTTTGATACTGATGCAACTTTACACCTGGACTGGCCCACCCTCAATTCATTGGAAGTTGTATTCTCTTGTTTTCCATCTCCCACTGAAGACCATCAACTGTGTTTTCCCACCTTTGTATTTATCCTTGTAATACATAACAGACCCTTAATCCATGCTTGTTTTAGTGCACAAATGAGTGAATGAATGAATGAACTCCCACTATGTAGATCTATAAACCTTTCAAAACGGTTTGCAAAGTCTGAGCACTTATCAGATTCTCAAAGGAGCACAAGATTCAGAACAGGCTGAGAGGCGGCTGCAGGCCTTGGGTTATGGGGGTAGAGTGAGCCCCACCCACATGGGCCGGTGCCCAGAGGGTGCCCGTGTGCCAAGGCGAGCAGGCTCAGGGAAGGGCAGCCATTCTGAGCTCACTCTTGGGGCCTCAGAAGGCCTTTTGTGGGGACTGACATTTCCTGTCCAAATGTGAAATTCCTTGGCCCCAGCACACAGTGTAATGTGTTTTCTCGAATCAAGTATTTGCTGGAGCTGTCTGTCTCTGATCTCACAAGCACACCAGCCAGTTTGTTTTGAGAGCTGCATTTTCGAGAAAGAGCAACACAATTTAGGAGCCAAATCAAATGGCGAGAGCCAGAGTGACAGTAGAGTTAGGATACAGCCCCCTACCCTTCCCTGGAAGTGAGAGGCATCAGTCTCCGGACAGAGTTCAGAGAAAGAGGGAGACAGAAAAAGATTATAAAGCCTTAAGGGAAACCTGGAAATGGCAAAGCCTCCCTCATTATCCCTCCACCTTAGCACAACTGTTTGATCTTTCTACAGGCTAGGAGGTGTTCGTATGCAGGCATACTTTTAGTGGTTATCATCATTATTTATGGGTGTTTTTCTGCTTGTAAAATTTTGTTTTCTTTTCTTTTTTGAGACAGAGTCTTGCTCTGTTGCCCAGGCTGCAGTGCAACAATCACAGCTCACTGCGGCCTCAACCTCCCCAGGCTCAGGTGATCCTCCCACTTCAGCCTCCCAAGTAGATGTGACTACAGATGTGCCCCACCACGCCTGGCTCTTTATTTTTGTATTTTTGTATTTTTTTTTTTTTTTTTGGTAGAGATGGGGTTTTGCCATGTTGCCCAGGCTGGTCCTGAATTCCTGGGCTCATGCCATTCGCCTGTCTTGGCCTCCCAAAGTGTTGGGATTACAGACGTGAGCCACTGCACTTAGCCTCCTCCCAATCCCCCGCTTAATAAGTGACATTTTCTCATGTTACTACACCACCTTTTTTTTTTTTTTTTTTTTTTTGAGACAGTCTCACTCTTTCACCCAGGCTGGAGTGCAGTGGCACGATCTTGGCTCACTGCAACCTCCGCCTGCTGGGTTTAAATGATTCTCGTGCTTCAGCCCCCTAAGTATCTGGGACTACAGGCATGCAGCACCATGCCTGGCTAGTTTTTGTATTTTTAGTAGAGACGGAGTTCCACCATGTTGGCCATGCTGGTCTCGAACTCCTGGCTTCAAGTGATCTGCTCATCTCAGCCTCCCAAAGTGCTGGGATTACAGATGTGAGCAACTGTGCCCAGCCGCCACCTTCATATTTATGTTTGTAATTTTATTCAGTTGTACTCCTCGCATCAATTAACATTTAAAAATACATGGATAGGCCAAGAGCAGTGGCTCACACCTGTAATCCCAGCACTTTGAGAGGCCAAGACGAGTGAATCACTTGAGGTTAGGAGTTTGAGACCAGCTGGCCAACATGGTGAAACCTCATCTCTATTAAATATACAAAAATTAGCTGGGCATGGTGGCAGGCGCCTGTAATCCCAGCTACTCTAGAGGCTGAGGTGTGAGAATCACTTGAACATGGGAGGCAAAGGCTGCAGGGAGCTAAGATCGTGCCACTGCACTCCAGCCTGGGCGACAGAGTGAGATTCTGTTTCAAAAAAAAAAATACATGGATAAATATAGTTGTTTTCTTTTGACATAATTTCTAAGAGAAAGACTAACTGGTCAGTGTTTTCTAAGTGTTGCCATAGGATTTCCCAAAGTATGCAAGTCCTTAGTTTACGATGACTCCATCCATGTATGTATGAAAGTATAGACTCTACTGTGATCTCATTATTAGATGTTATTGTTTTATTGTTTTATAACTTACCTGTGTTTAATAAGTGTTTAACCATATACACACAGAAATAAATTACTGACAAGATCGGTCATTCTGTTCATATTTTTATTTATCTGTATGTTTCTTCTTGAGCATATTTCTTTGTGACTTTTGAGTATTTAGTTCTTGGACTCTGAGAGATACAGATGCATTTACATGCACACACTTAGGCTCACATGCACGTTACACACCTGTTAGATCACATTGATGCAACCTATTTGCTCAGTGTCTATTTTTCTTCTTATCCCCAATTTTCTTAGTTTCTAAAAACCAGAAACTTAACTTTTAAAAAGTTTAATATTTTGATTTTTTTCTTTAATTCTTCTTTTGCTCTAAACTTAGAACTTTATCAGGATACTGGACAAAATAGGAAACGTAGAAAATAACAAATCTTTTGGGGGATGAAATACATAATTTTCTTTTATTTGGCCATTTTACCTTTATCCAGATCTTAGCACTTTCCATCCTCGCAGTGAGCTGAGGGGGGATGGGTCAAGACAGTGTGTTTTCCCCGTTATGAGTGAAGACTGTCCAGGTACAGGCTGGTTAGGGAAGAGCCCACTTCCTTCTCCTCCCTCCCACCACATTGCCAGCCTGGGAAGGACTTCGGTGGAGCAGTTTGAGGGCATTACCTGGCTGTGTAGCCAGTGGTGACTAAATTGCTCATAGCTGACCCCTGCCAGGGTGGGGAGAGGAAGGCCCGGCCCGTGTCTCTACTATGTTGCCTACGAGGGCTGCTCCTGCCCTGGCATGAGGCTGGCTCCCTTGGGAAGCTGAAATGAGGTAGCTGAGTGCTTGGCTTAGTGCCCAGCAGAAAATGAGCAAGCACTGGAGTGAAGCGAGTGTTCATATGATTAGACTTGTAGTGATGTAGCCCTTCTCTACCGAGGAGCTCCTTTCTCTATCCTGGAGTGGGTACCACGTGCCAGACTCCAGACCAAGCACTCCACACGCACCACCTCACTTACTCTTCACAAAAGAAAGAGGACGTAGACCCATTTCCTTGAATTCTTTTAGAACACTTACTTTACTTTCAGACTCTTTGCAGGGGTTTGCCCTACAGGATCATGGAATTTGTGCTCTGGGAGGTGGGTGCCATAATTATTCCCATTCACAGATGAGGAAAATAAGGCTTACAGTAACTAAGATCACAAACTAAGAAGCAGCAAAGTTGGGATTCCACTCCAGGTCTATGACAGGCAGGATGAGGCAGGAAGAATAAGTATGATTTTTGTCCTCATTCTACAGATGGGGAGACTGGGCATCAGAGAGGTTAGGTGACCTGTGCAAAGCCACACAGCAAAAGACAGAACCTGGTCTTGGAGCCAGGGATCCTGAGCCCAGGCTGGGTGTTATCTCACCACTGATCATAGTGATAACTGCAGCTAGTGAAGTGCTCAGTGTGCCAGGTGTCTTTTCAGGGTCCTCTTGGTCCTTACCCAGGAAGAGGGATGTCCTGGAAAGAGGCTGAATGGGACACAGGCCTGTCTGAGCCCGCAGGCCTTGCCCTGACCATCCTGGCCCCACTGCCATGGGTTTGCCCTGCAGGATCATGGAATTTGTGCCAGCATACCAGCATGCCAGCGCCAGGCTGTGAAACAACAGGGCATCTTTGTCCCTGCTCCGCTGACCACCAGATTGTACTTCCCACACGTGGCCAACATCCCTTGGCCAGCTGAGTAGGGAAGGCTGAGGACTTTTATTTTTTGTGTCATTTATTTTCTTGATTTACAGACTTTCTGAGAAAATTCTGTTAAGGAAAATATCCTAGCTGGCTTGCAAATGCATACATTCTCTTACAAAGCTCCTGCCTCACTCAGGCAGGTCAGGAGTCATTACTGAGAGTGGGCTATAGGTAATGGCCAGTTATAATGGCTAACATTGATGGAGAGATTCCTTTGTTGCAGAAACTGGGTTAAGCATTATCTAAGGAAATGTTCCAATGGCCCTAGTATAAAAGGGTTCATGTCAATCTTCTTTTACAAGTGAATCAGAGAGGGTAGATGAGTCACTCAAGGCCACACAGCTAGGCGGGGATGGAGCAAGTATAATCTAACTCCCTAACCCACATCCTTAACTACTGCACTCCTTGCACCCTGCTCTTTTGCTCCCTGAAGCAGAAGATAGGTGAAATTTTCTTGTAAATTTCATACATGAGGGTACTGGTTGAAGTCTGCCTTGAATTTTGGTTGTGTTTGTTTCTCTCTTTTTCACAAGGTCTGGGTGCTACTTGAGGGCTGGGCCTGTGTCTGGTTAGATTTTATGTTGCAGCACATGTCTGATGGAAGGAGAGAATGATTGACGGATAGGATGAATAAGTGAGAGAGAGGCTGAATGAGAATAAATGAGGGGAGGATGAAGGAAAGACCAGGTGTCTTGGCTGACTTGCTATGGGATAATTCAGAAACCATGTGACTTTAATGCAAACTTTAGACTTCAAAGAAAGAGGGCATAGCCCCATTTCCTTGAATTGTTTTAAAGCACTTACTTGACCTCCAGGCTCTTGGCAGGGCTACTTGGTGGTTAAGCAGACCGGCTCTGGGTGACTCCTGGCTCTGCCCCTTCTAGCCCCAAGACTTCCAGCAGGTGACTTGACCTCACCACCCCCAACGTCCCCATCTGAAATAGAGGCCAACATAAGTGTGGACTTCTTAGAGGGAGAACTGTGAAAACTAAGTGAGCATACGTGTCGGTCCATTTTTGTGTTGCTATAAAGAAATAGCTGAGACTAGGTGATTCATAAAGAAAAGAAGTGTAAATGGCTCACGGTGCTGCAGGCTGAACAGAAAGCAAGGCATTGGCATCTGCTTGGCTTCTGGTGAGGCTCAAGAAGCTTACAATTATGGTGAAGGCAAATGGGAAGCGGGCACAACACATGGTAGGACCAAGAGCAGGAGAGAGCAGAGGAGGAGTCAGTGAACTGAGAACTCACTCATCACCAAGGGGATGGTACTAAGCCAAGCCATTTATGAGGGACCTGTCCCCTTGACCCAAACACCTCCCACCAGGTCCCACCTCCAACATTGGGAGTCACATTTCAACATGAGATTTGGAGGGGACAAACATCCAAACCGTGTCAGCATATTTACACATGAACTGTAAATGATAGCAACTGTTACTGTTTTTCCTGGGAAAGCAATTTTACTTAGAGTTGATTTTTACAAATTAATTTGGGTGATGGGTACCTGAGGGGTCCTTATAGCATTCTCTCTGCTTTTCTGGATCCTTGAAATTTTTCACAATAAAACATTTTAGAAACAAGTAATGGAAATCTAAGATGTTAGTTTTGTTGAGAAAACAGATATATTGTGGAGTGCACAACGCATATGCATTCCACAATAATGCAAAATGTACATTGCATTATGTACATGCAAAATGTACATGCAACTTTAATTTTTACTTATTTATTTATTTTTTGCTGGTTGGTCCATAAGTTCATTGTCTTTATTTGAAAAATCCTCATGGAAAATTGTTGTTTGGTTTAGCTCTCAGCAGCCTGATCCTGAACTCTGAGGAAGCACACCTTCCTTTGAGCTACCTGATCTTTCTTCTGAGCAAGGGACATTTTGGGACAGTTTTGCCATTGTCACCCACTACTAGTTCTTCTTTCTTCTTCCTTCTCTCTTCCTTTTCTTCATCTCCTTCTCCTCCTTTCCCTCCTCCTCCTCCTTCTTCCTATTCCTCTTCCTCTTCCTCTCATTTTTCTTCTCCTCCTTCTTCTTCTTCTTCTTCTTCTTCATGTTCTTCCTCTTCCTCCTCGTCCTTCTTCCTTCCTCTTTCTTCATCTTGCTCTGTCACTCAAGTTGGAGTGCAGTGGTACGATCTCAGCTCACTGCAACCTCGACCTCCGAGGCTAAAGCGATCCTCCCACCTCAGCCTCTCAAGTAGCTGGGATGACAGGCACACACCACCATGCTTAGCTAATTTTTAGTTTCTGTAGAGACGAGGTCTCCCTATGTTGCCCAGCCTGGTCTCAAACTCCTGGGCTCAAGCAATCCTCCCGCTTGGCCTCCCAGAGTGCTGGGATTACAGGTGTGAGCCACGGAGCCCGGCCCCTCTCTTTATTTAAACTTCTTTCTTGGGTTTCTTCCCATAGACTGTATTCTGTTGCATAGCAGCGTTACTCTCTTCTACACCTCCTCCATGCCTGGAGTTATGCTGTTTTTTTATGTATTGAGAGGACTGTTTTTTGTAAGCATCTTCATCTTCTTCTGTTAGGAAATGCGTATAATCCACGACATTCTGACTGATGATGTGCTTTCGATGCACTTCTGCATTAAATTCCTTGTTTTCAAAATCATAACCAGGGAATCATTGGGTACCATGAGGGGTAGACAAGCCTCCATCTGTGCTCCCTTCAAGGCCCCCCAAGACTTTATTGCCAGAAGTAGTTTTGGCAAGGCCTGCATCCAAATAGCAGGTGAAGGCACCAGGCTGACCATAAGTGCTTTCTACATTGTATTCATCACCAGTCACCTCCACTTGGCCTTCATAGATCTTGCCCATGCCAGACCTATTGAGAAGCCTGCAGGCCAGCAGCAGGCCAGGACAATGTGCCGCAGCATAATTTGTCAGGCCAACCTTCACACCATGTTTTGGTAGCTCATGAGCATAAGGTACACACATTATCATATCCCCTTCCATACAGGCATAAGCAATGTGACAAACACTCTCTGTGTTAGTTATGTGAGCGATCATCCTGTATTTGGGCATGTTGTACTTATTTTTATCCTGTATTGCCAAGCATTTCCAAGCACAGTAATCCATTTTACCCTCTTGTCTTCTAAATTTCACTTTGTATCTCTTAAAGCAGGCCTTATTCTTGACAACTTTAACAAACCCTGTCCTGCAGAACAGAGACCTGCATCCTTCGCTAGACATAGAGCCCACAACTTTTAAATAAAGCACAAGATCTGAAAGAAACAAAATAGCCTAAAGCAGCCCATGGAGAATCCACCTCCAGGCAAGGTTGCTCCTGGTCTCACTGGACCTTTGGTTTTCTCATCTTAAAAAACTCGGGAATAGTGATGTTTCCCCCTCAGTGCCGCTACATGAGTCAAGCGAGAGGAGAGATATAAGGGTGCTTTGTGAACTGTAATTCTGTCTTCTAATTTGATAATTTGTTCATTCATTCAACACGTTTCTTGAGGCCCTGCCATGTGCCAGGTGCTGCGCTAGGAGCTGGGGACATTGCTGCACACAGATGAAGGCATGACAGACAAACGTGTTCTTGAGCTCAGAATGCCGTGGGGCAAATTCTTCCTCTGCCACTTTCTTCTTAGGTCACAACAGCTGAGTACCTGATCTCCGGGCCTCAGTTTCCTTACCTGTAAAATGGGGGACATTAACAATATAGTTCTCTCATCTACACGGTCATGAAGATAAATGGGGCAATGGATGTGAGGTTCCCAGAGCAATGCCCAGCACATAGCAGGTGCTTGATAAATGTTCATTCTCACCACTGCTGGTAGGAAGAGCCCAGCAAGTGAGGAAGGCTCACCATAAACAGATTTGCAAAATGACTTTAAAGCCATTTAAAGTCATTCGGCACTGGGCTATGGGCTGGAGAAGGGGAAAGTCATTTTTCTCTATAACGTGAAACCCTTGGCTCTTATAAAAGTGCCGTGGAGAAATGGGGTGGCATAATATATGGAACCATAGGTTGGGTGGGGAGGGTCCTTCTCAGG
This sequence comes from Homo sapiens, assembly GCF_000001405.40. NCBI lineage: Eukaryota > Metazoa > Chordata > Mammalia > Primates > Hominidae > Homo > Homo sapiens. Next base: position 160,056 of record NW_025791790.1, on the reverse strand, counting down.
AGCTGCCCTTCAAGGTGAATCAGTGGGATGACACAAGGTAGGAAAGCAGACAGCAGGGGGTGAGGAAGGGAGAGGAGCTGGGTCTGCTCTGCAGATGAGGAGACTGAGGCCCAGGGACAAGTGACTGGTCCCAGCTCCCACAGGGCTGCCACCAGGAACCCAGTGATATGGTTTGGCTGTGTCCCCGCCCAAATCTCATCTTGAATTATAGCTCCCACAATTCCCACATGTCTTGGGAGGGACCTAGTGGGAGGTAATTGGATCAGGAGGGCAGCTCTTTCCCATGCTGTTCTTGTGTAGTGAATATGTCTCATGAAATCTGATGGTTTTATAAAGAGGAGTTCCCTTGCACAAGCTCTCTCTCTTTGCCCACCGCCATCCATGTAAGATGTGACTTGCTCCTTCTTACTGTCTGCCATGATTGTGAAGCCTCCCCAGCCATGTGGAACTGTGAGTCCATCAAACCTCTTTTTCTTCCCAGTCTCAGGCATGTCTTTGTCAGCAGTGTGAAAATGGACTAACACATCCAGTGACCCAAAGATAGACAATATTTGGGCTCACTCTTGCAGAAGTCACTGAGAAAAGTGCTGGTTTCCCTGAGAAGAGTAGCAATGAGGATGGTGACTTAGTGTGCATTCCTAACTCTGGGGTTTTTGGAGACTTGTGCAAGCATTGCTCTTGGACACTGCTGTTGAAGCTCTCAGCCCTCTGGCTCAGATAACACCCTTATTCTAGGTCATTGGTCTCCTTCTCCTCAGCTGTATGCTGCCTGTACCTCTCCTCCAGGCAAATACTGTGACCATGGGCTTGCTACCAGGAAGAACACAACTGTGCAGACATGCCCCAGTGAGTCATCACCAAGTAATCACAGCTAGCACAAGCTATCTTCCACTTTGTATTTTGCAGAAGAGGCCAACAAGGGTCAAGGGTTAAGCTGGGCTGGGAGTCAGGGGGCTGAGTTTGACCGTAGCTCTGTCACTGATTGTGTGACTTTGAACAAGAGGTTTAGTATCTCTGAGCCCATGTTTCTACTTCATTATTTATTTATTTTTTATTTTTTTGAGATGGAGTTTTGCTCTCGTTGCCCAGGCTGGAGTGCAGTGGTGCAAACTTGGCTTACTACAACCTCCACTTCCCAGGTTCAAGCAATTCTCCTGCCTCAGCCTCCCAAGTAGCTGAGATTACAGGCACGCACCACCATGCCCAGCTAATTTTTGTATTTTTAGTAGAGACGGGGTTTCACCATGTTGGCCAGGCTGGTCTCAAACTCCTGACCTCAAGTGATCCACCCGTCTCGGCCTCCCCAAATGCTGCGATTACAGGCATGAGCCACCATGCCCAGCCTCCATTATTTATTTACTGGACCATTTATTCATTCCATCCACAAACATTTACTGAGTACCTACTGCAAGCCAGGCACTGGGCTGTGGGCTGGAGAAGAGGAAAGTTGTTTTTCTCCATAACATGAAACCCTTGGCTCTCATAGTGTCTGGTGAGTTGCAGCCCTTGTGAAAACTCTCCTGGTCACGTGATCATGCCAGTTTCTCTTCTCTGAACCTTTGTCTCAGTTTGCATTGTCCTCCTTGAGATGTGGCTTCCGGGATGTCCCGTCTTATTAATGAACCGGCAGCTTTGCAGGGCCAGGGTTTGAGCAGTTCTGAGAATGTGGCTGCGAGACTAACCATAGACGAGCCATTGCTATTTGAAATACTTACGAAAAATATTTGGATAACCTTCCATTACCTGAGAAGGCATTTCTAAAGTTTACATTGCAGTCCTGAGTGATGGTGATATTTGGAGCAATAATTTCCTCTGGCCCTTGAATTTTTGCCTGAAAGAGTGGCTCAGCAGCTCACATTGTACATGTGAAGGTTGTTTTGGAATGTTAATGGAGAGACCGATTCACACCAGATGGACTGGAAGACCAGTGAGGTGGGGAGGATGTATACACTGGCCACCATGATTCAGCTGTAAGGCTGGCTTTTTAAAATGCACTGACAGTTGGAGGTCAAGGCGGCTGACATTTGCCCAGGTTTTCTCTGCAAGTTTTTATGTTGCTTTAGCAAATCTGAATCTTGGTCCTGTTATGAATTAGTCTCTTTTATGATATTCAGTTCATGGACAACGTTCCGCTGGCATATCCTAAAGTCCAAAGCAGCTTTGACGGGCAGTGTCCTATGTCAAAGTTCAGATATGAACTCATATCAGTGTTTCTTAAGCTTAACAAAAACATAAAAGAAAAATTAAAATGGAAAAAGCTACTCATATCTTCTGTGTGTCTTTATCAGCCAAGAAAATCTTGCCTGGATCCATTCTGTAATTTATAATATACAAGGAAATGGCATTTTTGTGTTCAAATATATAAATTAAATAAGTCATATTAACAGTGGCATATATAGGCTGACTCTAAATGGAATGTTTTACATATATGATCTCTTATAATTATGATACCTATCATTACTGGGCCCTTTTGACAGGTGAGGAAACAGACCCAGAGAGGTATGTCCCAGGTCCCCTGAGGTGGGCAGGGAGCAGCTGAGCCCACTTGAGCCCTGGTCCAGCTGACCCCATGCTCTCTGCTTCCTCCTGTTGTACTTTTCTCATTCTTGGTCCTGATGCATCCCCCAGGGCTCACTGCCCTTAGCATCTGGTCCATCAACAATTATCCTCAGTTTCTTCTGAGCTGGGGGCCAGAGGACTCAGCTGCCTCCCCTACCCATGCTGTGCATCATGTCCAGCCCTTTCCACAGTTGGTAGTTATAGCAGGTGACAGAGTGCCCTGGCTGTCTGGTGCAGTTAGCTGGGCCTGCCTCTGGACTCTGACTTCTATTTGCATGAATGGATGTGGTGGGGGTTTGTTTGGGGGCTGAAGAGCAGAGAGGGAGTCTGTTGGCAGGGAAGCGTGTGTGGGGCTGTGGGTGAACGGGATCCCGGAGAGGATGAGAAAGGCCTGAAGCTGAGGAGGCTGTTTTCCATCAATGTTTTGCTCTCTGCGCCAGGCACCATCCTAGGGTCTGGGGGCTCTAAATGTGGACATGGCTGGTCCCACTTTGGAGAGCTGGCAGCTAGAGGGGGAGGTGGGTGACCTGAAGCTGGAGAGACCTGAGTTCTGGTCTCAGAGGTCTAGTCTCAGCACTGCAGCTTCTGAGCTCAGTGACCTTTCTGTATCTCAGTTTGGTCATCTGTACAATGGGGTTAACAATACTACTGACCTTGGAGTTGTTGTGATAAGTGCTAAGATAGGAGTGATGGGGGGTTGGGCACAGAGGAGAGAGGAGGGGCCTCATGTGATCTTGGAGGGCTAGGTGGTGTCCTGGAGGAAGTGCCATCCAAGCTGAGGCCTGTAGGAAGAGACAGGGTTGGTTACCTGGCAAAACTAGAGGAGAATCGGCTTCCAGTGGAGGCACTGGCTCTTTGGGGACCTGAGGGCAGGCCCTTGAAGCTGGAGTGACCAGCAGGAAGGGAACTAGAAGGTGGTCACTTGGCTCTGGGCTGGGCCACTTTTTAGGACTTGAGTATCCAACCGAGATGTGTAACATTCTCTCCACCAGCTACCACAGTCTACAGCCTGTGGAGGGTGTGGAGGGTGGAGAAGAGATGGTATAGAGGGTGCTGCAGTGTACCCACAGAGAGCACTGTGAGGAGGAGTCTTTGGAGGGGAGCTTGAGGGAACTTGGTACAGAGCAACCTCCCAGGAGTCTGGGCGTGCCCTGAGACAGCTGGGGCTGTGGAAAGGCATGAGCCCTGGGGGTCAGCAGAATGTCTGTGTGCTGGGCTGTGTTCCCGCTTCACTTACTGATTCAGCCAGTCAAGCATCAAGGATTTATTAAGTGCCTGCCATGTACCAGGCGCTGTTCTAGACACAGAGATGCAGAACTGGCAACACAGTCCACGATCTTGCTCTCCTGGGACTTACTTCCCAGTGGGGGCGAGGCAGCAGTTTTAGATAGAGTGTTCTGGGAGGAGCAAGCCACGTGATTGATTCTCTTGAAGGATGTGTCCGGGGGAGTGACCCCCCAGGTGGGGCCTGTGTGTGTTTGGGCTTTGGGGGGAATGGGAGAGTGGAAGGAGCTGAGGTCACTGAGGCATCAGGAGGCCAATTTGTGTAGGACCTGGTAGCAGGAGAATGACATGCTCTCTCTCTGGCTGCTATTGGGGAAGAAGACTCCAGGGAGGAAGGTGGGAACCCTTCCTTGATGTGGCGTGCTGAGCCTTGAACCCCAGCCTTGCTGCTGATGGCCAGAGGATGCCTGAACAGGTGCCTCAGCCTTTGAATGCTTCCTTTTCCTCTCCTGCAAAACCGCAAGGGCCACCATGAGAACTAGGTGAGACCACAACAGCCCCTCGCTGGCGGGCTGGATGGTGTGCTCAGCAGGGCGCGTTGTAATTAGTGTGATGAGCATGAAGGCCGTGAGGGCAAATCCCAGGCAGAGTGTGCGCTGCCTTTCATGCTCCCCTGCAAATCAAAAGTGTTCTGCTCTCTGCCCCCAGCACTGGGGCCTGCATGTCACCTCCCATCCTTCTCACGCACCCTCATGTCACTGTGGCTGGGAGTCCCATGAGGGCACGTGGCGCCCAAGGCCCTTCCACAGCAGGAGGCAGATGTGCAGGGGCTACGGGTTTCTGCTGCTTCTGACAGGCTGTCAAGGCCAATGTCCTGATGCCCTGGTCTGATGGGGAGGAACGAGTGCCTTGAGGACACTGAGGAGGGCCCCCCTGGCCAGCATGGGTATGCAGGGGAGCCTTCCTGGAGTTGGGCAGTCCATGATGAGAAGGAGAAGTTCTTAGGTTGCTGGTGGTGGTGAAATGAGAGGACGGGTGATCCAGGCATCAAGCACATTTTCATGTCTTTGAAATACCAGCATAAGAGAAGCAGGGGTGGGTGAGAGGGATTGAAGAATCAGAGCGGCTGTAGCTGGAGCTGGAGTAGGGTGGGGACAGACCAGATCACAAAGCATGGACTGAAGGGGTGAGACAGGAGGGCGGGGGAGCTGTGGGCAGGCTGTCGCAGGCACGTAGGCAGGAAGGGCCCTCGGGGGCCATCAGTGACTTAATGATTTTTACCATGTGCTAGATCCCAAGCTAAGCATGTTACATGCATAGTCTATCTAATCTTCAGTTTTATGAAGTGGGTTCTCCTGTTATACCCATTTCGCAGATGAGAATATTGAGGCTCAGATAGGTTAAATAACTTGACTGTGGTTTCATGCACAGCCAGGAACTGTCCATTTGGGATTTTTAATGCAGGCAGACAGAAGACAAGTTTTGTGTTTTGAACTTGTCACTCTGCCATCACCTTCTGGTCTCCAGGCTCTCGCAGCAGCTCTCTGCCCATTCCGTCATCCATAACGCTCTCGCAGCAGCTCTCTGCCCACTCCGTCATCCAGAACGGGATTGTACGATGAAGCCTCCCCTAGGTGATCTTTGGGAAATGCCACCCATCTCTGGAAGTGAGGGATGCTGGTGGTTACAGCTGGGTGGGAATCCCAGCTCCGCGACTCACCTGCTGGGTGTGATATTGTAACCCTGCCGATCCTCAGCTTCCTTATCTGCAAAATGTTAGTTATGGGGAGGAAAGGAGATAGAGGTAAAGCACCAGGCAGGTAGCACAGTGCCAGGCACCCGGAAACGACCCAGTGACGGTGCTCCTCGGATTCCTATTACTGCCCTCGTTTGCCAAGGCAGGGTGGTGACACCGCGGACCCAGGGGGTGCCTGGCCAGGCCCAAACAGGTGCCAGCGGCGCGTGTGTGTGGAGGAGCTGGGGACAGGGAGTATGAATCATTCACAACTGAAGCCTTGCATTATTAATATCGTTATTCTCAGACTTCTAAGGAGGGCCCAGCTGGATCCCATATATGGAAGGCGCGACTCAGCCTCCGGGGCAAGCACCTCCCTGGGTCCGGAGTTGCCATGGAGTCCCGCAGGCGGCCTGGAGGCGGTGCCCCGGGCTCGGCCCCCGCGCAGGTCCTTGGTCTGCGGCCTGGGTCCTGCCCGCGCCGGGGTCCACCCAGCCCGCCTTTGCGCCGGCCCAGGGCCGCTCCCCTGGGACCCTGGGGGACAGACAGAAGCTGGTGGGGACTGGCGCGGGCGTCCTCGGGAGAGCGCCGGGCGCGCTGGGCTTGCTGAAGGGCTCCAGGCCTGGCCATTCGGTGACTTCCAAAGAGGGGACGCGCCGCGGGGCCCCGAGGGCCTGAAATCCGCTCCCGCAGCGCAGCCCCGGGCGCGCCACTACCCCCGCCGCGGTCGACTGCGGGGCGACCGCTCGGTCCCGAAGCCGGGAGAGGAGAGGCCGGGCCTCGGCGGGCCGCTCTGGGCGGGCGGGGAGCGCAGCTCCGGAGCCAGGCAGTTCCCCGCGCCCGCCTTCCCCGACCTTTCCCGGCCGGCCCGAGCTCGGAGGGGCGGGGCGCCGGGCGGGCCGGGGCGGGGCCCGGGGAGGAGCCGTGGCTGCGGCGGCTGCCGCGTCAGAGCAGCGCTCCCGCTGCCCGGCGGCTCAGACACGGCCCGAGCGCCGCCGCGGACGCGGACAGAGACCCGCACGGGCACGGGCGCTGCGCTGGAGGCTCCCCTCGCGGTCCGGGGCTGCGCGACCATGGCGGACAAGGAGGCCGGCGGCAGCGACGGGCCCCGAGGTGAGCGCAGGCTGCGGGTCCTGCGGCCGCGGCTGGCGGGGCAGGGAGGGAGGAGGCGCGCTTGGCCCAACGCTCCGCACCCCCTCGCGCGCCGTGGAAAAGTGGGGACGCCCGCGCTGCATCCAGTTCTGGCGGGCGGGGCCGGGGTCAGCAGCAGCGGGGCCGGGGGCCGGGGTCCGGTGGACCGGAGACGGCCCGCGGGTCACATGTTCTGCGCCCCGCCAGGGTGCGGACTCCGCGGCGGGGACTGCAGCCCCCGCTGAGGCGCCTGGTTGGTCCCTGCCTCGGGTGGCGCCTCCTGCGGGGCTGGTCGCGCGTGCGGGTGAGGACCGCCCCGCGTGTGCAGCCCCCGCGCGATGGGCTGCGGAGGCCGGCGCTGGCTGGGTAAAGGGCCCGCCGCCGGGTGGCCGGGTGGCCCCAGCGGGTAATTTTCGTGACTCAGCGAGGCAGGAGTGGGAGCCTGGGGGAAATCGGAGATTTGGACCTGTTCCCTCGCCCCATCCCACCCCGGCCGGACGCTCGAGCCAGGAGTGGGGGCTGCAGCTGCGGCCGAAGGGCTTCTCACCCACCTCCCCGCCCATCCCCAGGGACTCACTGGGCTGGGGAAGGGTGAAGCGGCGGGGGTTCGATGGTCCCTTCCTTGCGGGGGGCAGGGGGAGGCACCCAGTGCGGAGGACAGACGCTCGCATTTTGCAGATGTGCTAGGGCCGCTTTCTTTGGGGAGCGTGATTAGGGCTCCGAAGGGTGGGGGAGCCGGAGAGGACGGGGAAGGGGGTTGCGGGAAGAGGACGAGCAGGTTTCGGAGCCCAGGGCTGTAAATCAAGGCTTCTCCCACGGAGGGCCCGGCTGGCCAGGATTCCAGTCTTCCTGTGGGTCCCAAGTGGGGAAAGTTGGGCGCATGGAGGCGCCGCGCGTCCCTGACCTGCAGGGCCTCGGCGAGAGCGGCCGCCGGGGAGAGGAGCGCGGCCCAGGCATCTTTCCCGGGAGCGACAGGCAAGCCGCCTGCGAGGATGATATTAAAATGCCGGGACGCAAGGGAGATTCAGCCACGAAACGAGCGCTTGGCTCTGCGGGGCCCCAAAAGCTGGAGAAACTGAGTCCAGTGGCAGCACAGCCACCATCTGCGCTGGGTTCCCTGTCTTGCTGTCGGGCCTGCGGCCCCCACCCTCTGCTGCACTCCAAGCCGCACCTGCCCCCACCCCAGCCCATTGTTCCTGCGGATCAGGGAGGTGCCTCCCCACGCGGCACTGCAGTGGTGGGGGAGTGCAGGGTGGCGGGTGGGGGATCCTGACAGGGCTCACTCCAGGGAGAGGCAGCGGAGAGCCCAGGCCGTCCCCAAACACACACCCAGTCCCCGCCTGTACTCTTCCTCAGCTGGTGAACGCAGGCAATGGACTGGCAGCTGTCTTTGTCTGAACATCACTCAGCAACTGGATTGACTCTTTTTTTTTTTTTTTTTTTTTTTTTTACTTTTTTCCTTTAAGTCAGAAAATAAAAAAATTTTTAGGACGATAAGTAGGGGCGTTGAATTGCTAAAGCCTGAGAATTACTGAGCCAGTTTCTTGCCTCTCATGCTGGGATAGGGTGGGCGATGATACCAAATACAAGGTTGGGCATAGGATTTGTCAAATCAGAAGTGGGCAGGAATGTGTACCCACTCCCCACACCTTTCCCAACACTGTTTTGTCTTGTAAATCAAATTCAGCACCCCTATCCTAACACACACACACACGCACACACACACACACACACAGACACACACACACACACACACACACACACACACACACACGGTGCTGGGAGAAATCCTGTCCAGGATGGGGACACCCATACCTGGTGTGCCGAGCCACCTGCCACCGCTCTTCTGCGTTTGTTCTGGAGTATTTGTTTCTTCACTTCCAGTCATCTCCAGCTCAAGGTGGCCAGTGAGAATTCCAGGTGCATGGACTTAGGACAGAGACCAACCTGAAGAGCGGGCTGTCCCTGGCAGCTCACTGTGCCTCTGGGCACCTCTCCCTTTATCTGTAAAATGGAGGATGTGAATAGTATTGCATAGGAGCAGAGTTGGCTTGCCCCTGGCCCCTACACTTATTTCTAAGGTTTCCTCATTGCTGGGAAAAGAGCGTGCATTATTTTATTGTTTTAAAGGCTCACAACAAACCTGTTACCAGCATTCTCCCCTTCCTGGGTGGGAAATCCAAACACAGGTTGAGTGACCTATCCAAGGTCACACATCTGGGAAGTGTTGTTTGGGACCCAGGCCATCTGATTCCAGGGCACCAACCTGTGCATACAGCCCTTATGCATGTGTGCAGTGGTTACCACTCTATTAAGGACATAAAAAAATGGTTGTGCTTCCTGGGAAGGATTTCCAGAATGTTTTTGGTACAAAAGGATGGGTGCCACAAATATCACACTGTTGGAATTTGTGAGCAGTGGCAGTCCTGGGTTGGGGAGGGGTTTGCTGGTGGGTAGGTGGTGTTGGGGGGTGGTGTCAGAAAGGCTGGCCATGAAATCTTCTCCAACAAGTGCAGTTGGGGTGGGGTGGGGAGTGGGCAGAGGTGCGTGCCAATGAAACAAGAATGGCAAAATGTGGTAGTTGGGTGATGGGGAGCGGCGGTTCATTACTATTCTGCTTACTTTGTGTATGTTTGCAAATTTTCTTAATAAGATGTTTAAATTACTTAATTTACAAAATCTGAAGGGCCACACTTGAGGGTCTGGGTGTTGGACAGCAAAATTTGAGATGACCTTCAATCCTGCCCCCTCCCGCATGACCTGAGTGGGTTGACACATGGAGCCCTAGAAGGGTGAGATGAATTGGGGGTGGACAGAGTGGTTCGGACAGGGATGGCTCCTATGGTGACCAAGTCAGGGCTAGACATGAAGAGTGGAAACCAAGTCATTTTTTCCAGGGCACGGGCTTGAGGAGAGGGATGGTGGGCAGGCAGTTTTGCCTGGGTTGAGGGTATCTCTCGAGGCCTGGCATTGGGCTTTGGAGATGCCATCCTGGAGGTTCATCTTAATAAAAATAAACATTTTAAACGTTCACTTTTATTGAGGACTTAGTGTGTGCTGAAACCTGGGAATATTGAGTTATCTCATTTAGCCCTGACCACGTTTGTTGTTGAATGAATGACTATGAAGGACGCCCTGTGATCCCCATTTCACAGAGGAAAAAGCTGACAGTCCTAGCAGCGCACAGCTGGAAGGGGGCCTAGGTAAGGACCTAGGCCATGGGATGCAGGCCCCAGGTGGTCAAGCTGAACAGCCTCTCCTGGCATGTGCCTGGCATGTCATAGGCCCTCAGGGACTTGTGTTGAGTAGGCCTGCGGCTAATAGAGAGTGGCTGCCCTACTTCCTTCAGCCACCAAGCTGTAGATGGTAGTGACAGGGCGCTGGTTATAGCCCCCAAAGGAAGTAAGCAAAGGTCAGGGTGATGCTCTGGGCATTGCAGGTTAGGGTTCTGGCTATGGGATCCACTTCCGTGTCAACATCTGCTGCTGCAACTTGTCTGCCGCCTTGGTGGTCCTCCCATGCCTTCTGTGTATGTCCCTACACAGTGTCTTGTGTTTCCCAGAGCCTTGTGATCGCCTTTGGCCCTGGACACATGCAGTCCTCCCTGCTTGGGACATCCTCTCTTTGTTTAGCAAGGTCCTACTCATCCTTCAAAACTCAGTTAAGGTATCACCTCTCAGGAAGCCTTCCTGGGCTCATCCATCGGGATGAGATCTGCCTGTGTGGTCCCAAAGCCTTCGGTACTTAATGGTTGATAATTCCAACTAGTGTTTGTTGAGGCCCTACGATATGCCAGCTTTGTATGCCTGTATCTCATTGACTCCTCCAGCAACCCTGTGAGGCTGGCATTATTATTACCCCATTTTGCTGATAAGGCAATTGAGGGCTTTGAAAAACTTGCTAACTTGCCCAACCAGTGAATGCTGGAGTTGGGATATGAGTCAGCCATGGAGCCTAAAATCTTGTGCTGTTTCTCTCAATGCTCTTTCTTCCGAGAAAGGCGTGGACTATGTCTTTCATTTCCATTTTTTTTTACTAAGGACACTAGTAGGTGTTCAATAAATGTCTTACTTTTTGTTGAGTGTCAGTCAGCAAGACATGAGGGAACACAGCAGAGGGCAATGGCGTCTACATCTTGCCCACTCCGCAGTGGTGCTCCTGGAAATGTGGATGCTCAGGAGTGGGCCAAGCTGGAGGGGAGTCAGGCAGGGCTTGGACAATCTCAGAAGAGAAGCTGCTTTGATTCCAATAAGGCCTGGAGTGACGACTCAATCTTGTGGGGGCGAAATGCTCTCTTTTCATATAAATAGGCCTCTTTGGTAAGGGAGAAAGCATCTTTATTACTGCTGTGCATAATTAGAACAGCGGGGAGGAATCAGGGGCTTTTAATGAATGAGCAGCGTGTGGCAGGGAATGAGTGAGCGCCTGCCACTGCGGGCACCCCCAGGCCTGGGCATCCCCAGGAGTGAGCGGGGCCAGCGAGGAGACGACCAAGGAAGCACAGGCAGTGCTCAGAATTGAAACCTGCCCCACTGAAGCGGGCCCTGCTGATCCTTGCTGCGTTCCTGTCATTGCAAATGACTCCCAGGCTGCAGCTTTGCAGATGCTGCTCTGAGCTCTGCCAGGACCACCCCTCTTCTTCCAGCCTTGACCGTGACCTGGCAGCCGCAGATGTCCTGCGGGGCTGGCAGCTGCTCCATGGCACCCCTTCTGGGCAATCCTGAGCTGCAGAGTTTTTGCCTTGATTTTAGTCCCCTTATTTTTAGGGTGGCCATATGTCCTGGTTTGCTGGAATAGTTCTAGTTTATGCCTCTTTTCCTAGTGAAATTAGTAATAATGATATCTTTCACCTTCTAAGTATCTCAGTTTGGAAGGTGAATTATGTGGTTGCGCTCCTTATCTTTGTCTTCTCAGCCATCCGGGCCTCAAGACGGATGAGGGAGGCAGTAGGGTGTGCAGGTAAACCTGGGCTTTGGTCTCAGATGCTTGTAACATCTGGGTTTAACGTTGCTGCATCTGTTTTTTCTGCTGTAGACAAGGACGATTAATAATCTCTGCTCTACTGGGGTGCTGTGAGAATGAAATGAGAGAGTATTTGTAATGAGCTTAGGTATGAGCCTGGTACACAGAGGGCTCTCAGTAACTTCCAGTCATTTTATTATCATTGTTAGGTTGATTTGGGAAGCGTAGTGGTTAAATGTGAGATCTGGGGCCAGACTGCCTGGGTTCAAATCTGTGCTGTGTCATTGACCTGCTCTGTGACCCTGGCAAGTTACTTAACCCCATAAAGCCTCAGTTTTTCTCATCTGTAAAGTATGGATTATAACAGTCTCTTCTTCATATGGCCTTTATGAGAATTAAATGAGTTTTTATATGAAAAGCACTCAGAGTAGAGCCGGGCATGAAGTAGACATTGAATTAATATGAGCAATTATTATTGGCTGTTATTGTTATTATGAATAAATGTCCCAACTTACATTCTTGTAGGCAGGAGGAATTATCCAGTACATTTGTTTCCTATTGCTGTTGTAAAACTTACCACAAATTTAATGGCTGAAAACCATACAAATTTATTATCTTACATTTCTGGAAGTCAGGAATAAGTCCAAAATGGGTCTCCCTGGGCTAAAACCAAGGTGTTGGCAGAACTGTATTCCTTCTGGAGGCTCTAGGGGATAATCCATTTCATTGCCTTTTCAAACTTCTCGAGGTGACCTGCATTCCTTGGATCGTGGCCCCTTCCTCCATCTTCCAAGCCCATCACTCCAGCCCCTGCTTTCATTGCCACATCCCTTCTCTGACTCTGCCCCTCCTCCTCCCATTCCCTTTCTAAGGACACTTGTATGAGGACCTCTTATTAGGCCTACTTGTGTAATCATTTCCCCATCTCAAGATCCTTAATTTAATCACATCTGCTGACTCCCTTTTCCCATAGGAGATAACATAGTCATCGGTACCAGGGGGCTATTATCGAGCCTCTCATAGCCAGAAAGATTGGAGTCTTGCCTAGGTTTGGGGTGTTGGAGAGTCTTCTGTGTCCCTCAGGAGCTGTCTGAAGTTTGGAAATGACTCCTCCTCCGTGTTGTACATTAGGTCAGGTTCCTCGTGCACCTGCTGCGGGTTGCCCTCCCTGGAGTTTGGATTGTGGATCAACCCTTGACTTCTATTCAATCTCAGTAGGGTCCTTAGAGACATTGTTACTTTTAGGGCTGATTTAGCCCCTTCTGAGGGGCCCATGACTCATTGAGATCTGAATAAAAAGGTTTATTGGCTCCCAAGCAGGGAAAACAATCAATGCATTAAACAAGTTATTGAAATGTCTATAAAATGTCACATTATATTTGCTTTTACTATGTAGCAAACCACCCCAAAGTTTAATGGGTTAAAACAATAGTCTTTTTAAAAAAATTTATTTTAAGACAAGGTCTTCCTCTGTGACCCAGGCTGGAGAGCAGTGGCGTGATCTTGGCTTATGTAAGCTCTGCTTCCTGGGCTGAAACGATCCTCCCACCTCAGTTTTGTGGGTAGCTGGGACTAAAGGTGCACATCTCCATGCCTGGCTTTTTTTTTTTTTTTAAATAGGGACAAGGTCTCACTATGTTGCCCAGGCTGGTCTCAAACTCCTGGGCTCAAGCAACCCTCCTGCCTCAGCCTCCCAGAGTGCTGAGATTACAGGCATGAGCCACCGTGCCTGGCAACAATAGTCATTTTATGGCTTATGATTCTCTGGGCAGGTCTCTGTTGGGTGGTTGTTTTGGTGGTCTTCCCTGTGGTCACTTATGTGACTGCAACACTCTGATGGCTCAACTAGTCTGGGTAGTCCAAGATGACCTCGCTCACAGGTCTGGGGGTTGGTGCTGGCTGTCGGCTGGGCTTCGTTCTCCACATGGTCTTTTATCCTCTAAGAGGCAAGCTCAGGCTTCTTTATGTGGTGGCCTCAGGACAGCAAGAGGATGAGAGGGGAAGCTGCAAGGCCTCTTGAGGCGTTCCTGGGAAGTCCAATAAAATCACGTCTGCTGTATTCCTGGTGGTCACAGCAAGTCTTGAAGCCAGCTCAGATAGAGGGATGGAGAAATTGCCTTCACCTCTTAGTGAGAGGACCTGCAAAGAATGTGTGGCTATTTTTAATCTAACAGAGTTGGCTTGGCAAAAATGTTGAAACTACAAACTTTAGAAAACTATATTATGCTTTAAAGCAACTTGTAGGTTAGATCTCACTTCTTAAGACGTTCTGCAAGTGCCCAGTGATTGTCTGACACTTACAATTATTTGTTTGTTGTGCTAGAACATGTGTTTCTATAAGTGATAAATGAAGAATGATGGTGGTATTCAGAAAAGTTGTGTTGGCACATTCTCAATTTTTCCCAGTATGTTTGCACTTTGACAGATCAGGATGAACTTTTTTCTTTTTTTTCTTTTCGAGACGGAGTCTCGCTCTGTCGCTCAGGCTGGAGTGCAGCGGCTCGATCTCGGCTCACTGCAAGCTCCGCCTCCCGGGTTCATGCCAGTCTCCTGCCTCAGCCTCCCGAGTAGCTGGGACTACACTCGCCCACCACCACGCCTGGCTAATTTTTGTATTTTTAGTAGAGGCAGGGTTTCACCGTGTTAGCTAGGATGGTCTCGATCTCCTGACCTTGTGATCTGCCCTCCTCGGCCTCCCAAAGTGCTGGGATTACAGGCATGAGCCACCGTGCTCAGCCCAGAATGCACTTTTTTCATGATTGAAGGCTAATATATGAAAAAAGCAAAAAAAAAAAAAAAGCTGAAAATCTGTAGATGCAACTACCTTTAGTGTAAGTCAGGGCTGTTTTAGTATTGTTCCATTCCCCATTCCCTTAAGCTCTGTTGGCAGCTGAGAGGGCAGATGAAGGAGCTGCAAAGACATTGTCCCTATAAGAAAATGATGGGTATGGGTGTGTGGGTGACACCCTGGATGGGTTTTGCTTTTTTTTTTTTTTTTTTTAGACAGAGTCTCGCTCTATTGCCCAAGCTGGAGTATAGTGGTGTGATCTCGGCTCACTGCAGCCTCCACCACCTGGGTTCAAGTGATTCTTCTGCCTCAGCTTCCCGAGTAGCTGGGACTACAGGTGTGTGCCACCATGTCCAGCTAATTTTTGTATTTTTAGTAGAGGCAGAGTTTCACCATGTTGGCCAGGCGGGTCTCAAACTGCCTGTCTTGGTGATCTGCCTGTCTTGGTTTCCCAAAGCTCTGGGATTACAGGTGTGATCTGCCTGTCTTGGTTTCCCAAAGCTCTGGGATTACAGGTGTGAACCACTGTGCCCTGTTGGGTTTTGCATTTTGATGAGAATGGCCCCCTAAGAAGTGAGTGCTCCGTTACTGTTTTTGGAAAGGTTCCGGTAGCAAGGTTCCGCAGGTGTGGAGTGATGTACACCGACCTTGTTTTCCTCATGAATCCTGTTATTTTTAGTGTATGGGTTTGTAGAATGTGAAGATTTGTAGGAAAATATGCTGCATTACAGTGGAAGTGCTTGAACAGATGCTCCTTGACTTACAATAGGGTTACGTCCCTATAAACCCATAAAAACGTTGAAAATATCATAAGTTGAGTCATCCTAAGTTGAGGACTGAGTGTATTTATATTTGATGTGGGATAAGTGTTCATTTAAAAAATATTTGCTCCGATATGGGGTGGAGCCTCAAATAACAGCCAATAGGAAGAGCCTACAGTCACTTCCTATTCAGTCATTTGAAATTTTGAGACTGCTTTGCTTCCCAGATGTTTGCATACTTAGTGGGTAGTTTTGTCAGTTATGTTCAGAATTTTAATGTCAGAAAACAGAGACTCCAGGAGTAAGTTCTGTAGGATGGAGCTCCTGTTTCATCGACCCACTTAGCACCCAAGATCTCAGAGGGAAATGGATTACGCCAGTGCCCTTTGCTTCCTATAAACTGACAATTAAATGATGTCCCTTGGGGCTTCCTATGTTTTGTAAATCAGACCTCGTGATCTTATTGGTTTCTCTGTGATGAGGAACAGTGGTTCCTGTACCCAGGCGGCTGGTTCTGTTTGGGACAGGGAAGCTGTAGGTATTCGGGCTCCAGCCTGCTGCCTCTGAGGCCTCAGGCTGGCCTCTCTTTGCTTGTCTCCCATGTTTCCTTGGGCTGAAGGCTAAACTCCTCTGGCCACTTACTTCCTTTTCTTTCCTTTAGTCATTGTCCCTTAGTGACCATCTCCGCTGGCTGGGATAAGAAACTGTTTACAGCACAACCATCAGGCAGGAGTCTGTGCCCAAAGGACAGATGAAAGTTTCAGAAAACAACTGCTTGTAGTCAGTCCACATGGCTGCTGGACCGATTTGAAGGGATGATGGTTATCAGTTTGGGTGGTGGTTTCCCTGGGCCAGCAGTTAGAAAACAGAGCTCATGGATACATCCACAGCTAGATGGGACCAGGTTGTCTAATGTCTGGACTGGGCCCACCCTCTCATTTTACAGATGGGGAAACTGAAGTCAGGGAGGGGAAGAGACTGCCCCAGGACACTAGGCAAAGCCAGGCTCAGAATCGAGGTCTGCCGACTCCCTCTGCATGCTTTCCAGCTGAACTCCGCAATGGCTACAGAATCCTCCAGCAGTCCCGCCAGCCACTCCCGGTCACTCAGAGACGGCACAAGGATCCAAACCTCCTTGCCGTTAACAAATTCATGACTTGTCCCTCCAGCAGGAGTTACATTTTAAAAAAGTATTTGAAGAATGCTTAACTCAAAGGAATGAAGTGCCAAGTCAAATTGCTGTGAATAAAACACTCTGCAATGGTGGAGCCGCAGGCCCAGCTTTTCTTTTCTAGTCTCTTGTGTGTTCCCTCACTTGACAGTAGTGGTTGCCCATCTTTTTGTGCCTTGGCTCTTGGCAGAATGTCTGTTTTGAAAGGGTTTTGATTAGGGATTTTGGTTGCAGGTAAGTAAACCTTCTCTGGCTAGAGGAAGCCAAAAAGGTAACTTTACAGTGAGGATCCAGGGCTGGTTCCTGGAACTTAAACCTGCTGCTAGGTCTAGGAGGGGAAAGTGTTGGGAACATGGCAGTTTTCTTTCCCTCTGTCTCTTTCTTTCTTTCTTTCTTTCTTTGTTTTTTTTGAGACGGAGTCACCCAGGCTGGAGTGCAGTAGGGTGATCTTGGCTCACTGCAGCCTCCGCCTCCCGGGTTCAAACGATTCTCCTGTCTCAGCCTCTGGAATAGCTGCAATTACAGGCATGCACCACCACACCCAGCTAATTTTGTAGTTTTAGTAGAGACGGCGTTTCATCACGTTGGCCAGGCTGGTCTCGAACTCCTGACCTCAAATGATCTGCCTACCTTGGCCTCCCAAAGTGCTGGGATTACAGGCATGAGCCACCACCCCTGGCCCTGTCTCTTACTTCTGCTTTGCTCTGCATGTCACCCACCCCTCCTCTCTGCAGGACCACTTTAGGATTGCTTCCCATCTTTAGGGCAAATGTGGCCCCCAACAGTGACCCCCATGTTGAAATGAAAAGTTCTGATACACAGGAGGTCTGATGTCTGTCTGTTTTTCTTTCTTTTCCAAGTCCAGATTCCCAGACGAGGCCGCAAGATTCAGGTATGATCAGGACTTGACCCAGAAACAGTCAACCCTGGCCAGAAGAAGGGTTACCTTGCTGAGAGAGGGGGAGTTAGGGGGCACGATATCTGGTGGTCAGAGAGTAATTATCTCCCACAAATAGTTAACAGTACAGGTGTCTGAAGTAAGCCCTGTGTAGTAAAGAATTTCTAGGTGAGGGCTGTACAAGAATGGAGAAGAAAGAGACTACCTGTTAGAAATTTTGCTCTTTTGTTCTTTCTTAGAGAAAATTACTTTCTCCCATGTAAAAGTTTCATGCTACATGGGGTAACTGACCACTGGGTCCCTTGCATGACAATAATGCACAGACTCTTGGTGTGTTCTTCTGGTGTGTGATGGGCTGTAGTCAGTCCACATGGCCGCTGGCCCCATTTGAAGGGACCGTGGTCATCCGGTCTGGCAGTGGTTTCCCTGGGGCCGGCAGTTAGAGAGCAGCAGAAGGGGTGCATCATTCATCTGAGTCACTTGCTTCACTTTCCCCTCCTAGACCTGGCAGCTGGTTTAAGTTCTGGGCACCATCCCTGGATCCTCACTGTAAAGGTACCTTTTTGGCTTCCTCTGGCCAGAGAAGGTTTACTTACTCACAAGCAAAATTCGTTTTAAAACAGACATTCTGCCAAGAGCCAAGGCACAGAAAGATGGGCAACCAACATGGTCAGGGGCCCGTTCTGCCTAAGCACAAGGACCAACTCCGGGGCCCTCCAGGGGAGGCCAACTGGCCAGCCATGGAGGATGTAGCATTGACTGAGTCCACAAGGGCCCATGCAGCAGGACCCTGGGACAGACCATGGGAACGGGCTGCGCAGAGAAGCTGGCCCACGCCTGGGAGCACACTGATTCCTGCCTGTCCAAGCTCCTCGGCTTCTCCCCCAGGAAACGTTGGGAGGGTGGGAACCATGTTGGACCTGGTCTGGGAAAGCCAGGAGGGCCCGGTTCCTTCATAGCCAGGTTCCTAGGCTGTACAGAGGCCCTTGGAAGGCCCTTATCCCACAGCCTCAGTCTGTCTGTGTCAGACCAGCTATGGCGAGATGCTTTCCAAGATATTTTTGAGCGTCCATCCTTTGGCGTCAGCCTCTGGTAGTCTTGGCCAGCAAAGCTGCTAGAACAGGTTGGGGGTGGGCATGGCTGGGGAAGGAGTCACCCAGGGCCAGGCAGTCCCAGAGAAGAGAGCCCAGCAGATGGAATGGGGCATGAGGGACCCCAGGCCTCCTTTGTGGGCAGTAAGACAGAGTGGGCTTTAGAATAAGACAATACTTGGTTCAGATCGTGGTGCCACCTCTGACTAGCCGAGTGGCCTCAGCCAAGTCATTTAGCCTCTCTGGGCCTCAGTTAAGTATAAAATAGCACTCAACACCCCATGCCTGGGAGCTAGTGTTGGATGGGCACTTGGTAGAGTGAAACGGGCTTAGCTCAGTTAGAAAGTCCTGGTTTGGGTCCTGGCTCCCATACCTGGCCTTGACCTCACCAAGGTATTCAACCTCTCTAGATCCCCGTGACCTTATCTCAAAAGTATGGGTCACAGCACTTCACGGGTTGGTTCTGAGAATTAGATGAGGTCATGTATATAAAGAATTTGTCCTACACATAAAACATGTGCAGTCAATGTTAGGCATCATCATCATCATTATTATTTTGAGATGGAGTCTCGCTTTGTCACCCGGGCTGGAGTGCAGTGGCACCATCTCAGCTTACTGCAACCTCTGCCTCCAGGGTTCAAGCGATTCTTCTGCCTCACCCTCCCAAGTAGCTGGGATTATAGGTGCCTGCTATCATGCCCAGCTAATTTTTGTATATTTAGTAGAGATGAGGTTTCACCATGTTGGCCTGCTTTGGCCTCCCAAAGTGCTGGGATTACAGGCGTAAGCCACCACGCCTGGCCATCTTTATTATTCAAAACACCCACTGGGCACACACGAGGTACTCAGAAAGGTTGATATTAGGGAGTGGAGCTGGCTGGGAGATTTCGTTAAAGTTTAGTCTATTGAGGTCTAAGTTACATAAGGTAAGACTCACACTTTTTGGGTGTACAGTTCCATGAGTTTTGACAAATGTAGATACAGTTGGCCCTTGAACAACATGGCCTTGAATTGCACAGGTCCACTTATCCATGGATTTTTTTCAATACATATATTGGAACATTTTCTGGAGATTTGTGACAATTTACTGCATAGCCTAGAAATATTGAAAAAAATCAAGAATTTAGGTATTTCGTGAATGCATAAAATAATGTGTTAATTGACTGTTTATGTTATTGTTAAGGCTTCTGATCAACAGTAGGCTATTTGTAGTTAAGTTTTGGGGGGGTCAAAAGTTATATGTGGACTTTTAACTGTGCAGGGGGTGGGTGCCCCTAACCCTCATGTCGTTCAAAGGTCAACTGTAGTCATGTAACCACCATGTCAGTGCAGAGTATTTCCAACTCGGGAGGATTTTGTCATTCAGGATCCTCTGGTTTGCAGAAAGCCCCACCTCCGATGGTGGGGGATCTCAAGGCCTGGACCGTGCCCCAAAGGGAGGGACTTTCAGGGTCGACCCAATGATAGCATCCCAGCCTGTACGCTGGGGCTCTTACCAGTCAGGGGTTGGGGGTGGGCTCCTGTGACCTTCCCGGCGTGCTCCTCATTGGCTCTGGAGAAGGGAGAGATGGAGTCTGCAGGGTGCCCTTTGTCAGTCCTTGGGCTGGGCAATGCTGCCAGACAGAGGCTGAGAACCCACTAGAACTGAGAGCTGAGACACAACTCACATTTGTGTGAGGTACCCAGAGAGCCAGGACTAGTGAGGTTTGGCCTAAAATGAGGGTCCCATGTCTCTGCTTGCCATAGGCCGCCTGCAGGGATGTGTGAGGGCCCTTGCCCCGGGAGGCTTATTGCCTGGCACATAAGGAGCATTAAGATGGGCCCCTGGAGGGGGTGGTTTGAGGATCCTGGAAGGCTCCCCGCACCTGCCCCTGGTCACAGAGCCTGGAGTTCCACCATCAGGGAGTCTTACTCATGCAGGCTTGATTTGATGCCACATTCCTTTGGGTTAAACATTATTTCTTTAGTGTTCTCTTTTAAAAGAAAACTCCTGCTCTGCATATAAAACCCTTAGATAAGCAGTGGCACATAGACTTGAATTGTGTCTACCTCTCTGACCAATAGGGAAGAAGCTATCTAGAGAGCTGTGTTAAGAAGGATTCTGAGGTCACCTCTGGCTCAGTTGGAAAGAATGCGATAATCAGTGCTGTGTTTCCCAAATGCCCCACTTTGGACTAGTTCATGATGGCTTCTGATGCTTGAAGCCTACATTCGTCACTGAGGAAGTTACCCAGGTGACTGTGTACCAGGTTTGCACGAAGCTAAATTTTTCCATCTGAAAAACAATTTCTGATATTGTGCCCTTGTGGTAGCTTATTGAATTAATAACCTACAATAAATCCTGTCTCCAGGTACAGATGCTCCTTGACTTACGATGGAGTTACACCCTGATAAACCCATTGTAAGTTAAGAATATCATTAGTAGAAAATGCATTTAATCCACCTAACCTACAGACCATCCATGCCTAGCCTACCTTAAATATGCTCAGAACACTTACAAGGCTGGGCATAGTGGCTCACATCTGTAATCCCAGCACTTTAGGAGGCCCAGGTGGGTGGATCATGAGGTTAGGAGTTTGAGACCAGCCTGGCCAACATGGTGAAGTCCTGTCTCTACTAAAAATACAAAAATTGGCCAAGCGCGGTGGCTCATGCCTGTAATCCCAGTACTTTGGGAGGCCAAGGTGGGCAGATCATGAGGTCAGGAGTTCGAGACCAGCCTGGCCAACATGGTGAAACCCTGTCTCTACTAAAAATAGAAAAATTAGCTGGGTGCAGTGGCGACAGAGTGAGACTCTGTCCCCCCCCCAAAAAAATTAGTCGGGCATGGTGGTGCACACCTGTAATCCCAGCTACTCAGGAGGCTAAGATGGGAGAATCACTTAAACCCAGGAGGCCTAGGTTGCAGTGAGCTGAGATTGTGCCATTGCACCCCAGCCTGGGTGACATAGTAAGACTCTTTCCAAAAAACCAAAAAAAAAAAAAAAACCCACTTACATTAGCCTACCCTTGGACAAAATCATCTAACACAAAGCCTATTTTATAATAAAGTATCTCATGTAGTTTATTGAATACTGTACTGAAAGTAAAAAAACAAATGGTTGTTTGGCTACTCAAAGTATGGTTTCTACTAAATGTCTATCGCCTTTACACCATCATGAAGTTAAGTAATCATAAGTCAAATCATCCTCAGTTGGGGACGCCTGTACTCACACCCTTGTGTCATCTCCTCCTACCTGGACTCGGTGTAGCTACATGATTTGTTTTGGCCAATAGGACCTTGGCAAACAGGAAGCCAGCAGAGGCTTGAAAATTCCTGCCAGTGCATTGGAGCTTGCTCACTTGTCCTTTGCTATTTAGGAAGTCCAGGTCGTCCTGCTGGAGAGGCCACCTAGAGGGGAACTGAGGCCCCCGACCGACAGCCTAGGTGAACATGGACATGAATGAGCCTGTCTTGGCCCATCTAGTGCCAGATGAGCCTTGAGATGACTTTAGCTGTATGAGTTGACCCCAGGTGAGAAAAGCCCAAGTTGCGGAATTCTGTGCAAATTATTGTTATTTTAACCCACTAAATTTTGGAGTTAGAAATATTTGGATTACAATAGATAACTGATATAGTCCTATTTTTCTTTCTTTTATGAATTGAATATAGTAGCAGATGATAGGTTTAATAAAAGTGTTAATGTCTGTTCTTGGCAAAATCAAAATGTGATAACACTTTGTTAGATCCACAGTTTTTTGACGGGGGCAGATTTTACTTCTTAGAAAACATAAGTGTCTTGGAACCACTGAATTATGGAGATCTGAGGGAGGTGTTGCTGTGCAGTCTGGGGTCTTCATCCGTCATCGGCACGTTAGTTAGTGTGACTTAGATTATCACAGTGAGAAATAGTTAAGGCTGGAGGGTGGAGGTGTGGGAGCTCTCAGTGTTCTGTGAGCCAACTTCATTTTCCACATGAAGAAACAGAAACCTAGAAAGTGACAGTGAGCCCGACAGCACACCTGGAGGCAGTAGGGCCATGCCGTTCATCGGAGCAAGCCAAGACTGGCTGTCTGGATGGGATATTGGGGACGGGTAGAGGCTAAGGGTAGGAGTGTTGAGGGGCAGCCCCCTCTTGGGCCTGGTGGTTTGACAGGCACCCCCAGAAGGAACTGTGGGAAATTGGGGATGGTCTACCCAAGGACACCAACCCTTTGGGGAGCACTCACAAGGGGGGTGGTAGGTAGTGATATCAGAGACCCAGCAAGGACCTTTTACTGCTGGAGCTGGTGGGGTCCTGCCAGGCCTGTCTCGGGGGAGGCTGCTGGGAATGTGCGTATATAACTCTGAATGTGCATGCATGCGTGGGGAGAGAGGTAGAGTGAGCAGCTGAGATGGAGGAGGGAGACAGAGACAGAGGAAGGAATGGGCTGAGAGATGTTAGAAGCTTCTGGTAGGTCTTCCTTTGGGGTTCTTGCAGTTTATTCAAACTTGAACCCACAAAGTCATGGCTGGTCATGGGTGCAGATTCTGCCCCAACACCACACTCCTTGGGCCTTTGGTAAATATTCGGTAGTGAGATTGCAAAGTGCCACATGCCAGGGGACAGAGCCTGAGGCTCTTGGGAGGGAAGACCAGCCAGCAGGATAGGATTGGGTAGAGAACCATGGGAATGTCAGAATTCACCTTGTCCTGCTTGGCCTGTTGTGTGTGTGTGTGTGTGTGTGTGTGTGCGTGTGTGTGTGTGTCTAAACCTTGTATGTTGAATGAATATTCAGATAGAAAACTTGACTTCCTCACTGAGTTGCATTCTGTAAACGGAGTCCTATGCCGGTAGAGGCAGGCCTTAAGATAGCACGCAAGCATGCTGAATGCAGCTGGGGTCTTTTTAAGATTTCCTCCCAAAAATATTAGTGTGGCAGGGGTTGGGGGAGGGAAGAGCCACTTTCTAATGAAATATTAGCGATGAGGCAGAAATAAACTGCAAAACATAAACACAGAAGCCAAAAATACAGTCACCCTGGCAGTGGGATATCCCTCTCACCCTGTGACTCGCTGGGAGTAGTTCTGGGTTTTGTGTCCCAAGATAGCGCCCCTTCTGCCACCCCCACTCCTTCTGCCAGCAAAGCTCCTCAGTCCTCACATCTCTCCCCAGTCCCATACTCATAACTGATGTCTTCCTTGGAGAGAATTTGTGACCCCTTTCTATCTGTGAATATGCATACAATTCCTGGTGCCCCTCCCCTGCTCGCCTGCCCCTTCTCTCAGGGCCCCCAGCCTGTTGGGGGCCACGCAGTCCTCCCTTGCACACTGCCATGCCAGCTTCAGGCTTCTTTTCAAATCTGGCGACTGAACAACACTGGGATGCTGACCTGATGTTAACGATGGAAGCTCAGAGGTGGAGCTGGGTCCATGGAGGCCCAGCGTGAGGCCTGGGACCCTAGCAGAGTGCTCCCCACCCTACAGGGTGGCAGGATTTCTGTCTCAACACAGGCTGGCTCACTTCAGGCAGGGGACATTTGGGGAATTAAGTGTTGAAGCCAGAAGCAATTCCCATCAAGTGGAGCTCCTGGGCCCTGGAGGAGGCTAACAGGATGAGGCAGTTTGAGAGCCCCCTTCCAGGTGGGATCCCTGCACTGTGTTTTCTCTGTAAGGCAAAGTGGTATTGTGGGAACAGCTCAAGTCCTGGGTTCAAGTCTCAGCTCTGCTGTTCCTCGCTGTGAGGCTTTGGGCAGGTCTCAACACCTCCAGAGCTTCTGGTTCCTCCTCTGGGGGACGGAGCTGAGAAAAAGAGCCTGCACCACGGTGTTGCTGGGAGATTGCCAGGCAGAGAGTTGGCCTTCAGGGTCTGGGGGCCAGGTGGTCACTGGGAGCTGTTAGAGACTGGGGGTCCTGATTCAGGAGACTGAGGAGCAGGCAAAGACCTGGGGCAGGACCAGGGCTATGGCTGGGAGCAGCTGGAGTCTTGGGCTCTGGGCCGCAGGGCACCCAGTGAGGCCACAGGAAGGGACAGGAGGCGTCACTCACTTGTCTCCTCTGCCCCACACTGTCCTGGGAAGGTTTTGGGTAAAACCTGAGACAGCTTTGGTTCTCATGACAGAAGACTTACGTGTTTACTATAGGAAATATTATCCAAAGCAAGAAAGGAGGAAACAGCCAGGACCCCACACTCAGAGGCAGCCCCTGTTAACCCCTTGGTGGGGAGCCTTCCAGACTGGCCAGGCATATTGAGACAAAGCTCACAGAGGGGCTGTCACAAAATCCAGCACCATGGGGAAGGGGGTCTTCTCTTTTAGAAGAGGAGATGGAGACTCAAAAGGTCGTGAATCTTGGTGAAGACCCCATGGCCCTTAAGTGCCCTGACTTAGTCATTACACATTCTACACATGTAACAATGTTTCACAGGCACCTATAAATAGGTACAAATATAATATATCAGAAACATTTAAAAAACTAAAAATTTTTTTATAAAGTTTTAAAAAAAGATCCCATGGGGAGAGAGTGGTGGTGGCCTTCTGGTCTCTGAACCCAAAGTGCGTGTTCTCTCTTCATCTCTGCCCTGGAAATATCTGTGACACTCCCTTGTGGCCCTGCCTCCAGCCACAAGAAAGCCACTTTCAAGATCCAGTGGTTTCCTGACATCAAACAGCCAGGAAGCAAGATAGGCTGGGCCCTCCCCAGGTGCAGGGCTCTGTACAAGGTGCAGAAGGGCTGCTTGAAAAGTAGCCCAAACTCTGTCTTTCTAAAGTTCCGGCCAGTGCTGCCCGATACGCCTCTGTTGGGGCCATGCAGCCATGGATGGCTCAGCAGAGTGCTGTCTATGCCTGGGTACAGGTGACCCGCTGGCCTCAGCTACTGGGGTATGGTCAGGGGCCCTCAGGTGGGCATCGGGCAAGATGGTAGATGGGCCTGGAAGCACAGCCCTTCTCTTTGGAGGTGGCTCGGTACTGGAAGCAGCCGGGATCTAAGGAACGGGTGGAGAGGCTGACTGCAGGAGCAGGGCTGCTGGTCCCACCTGAGGCTTAGTGGTCCTCATGGTCCTCAGGCTGGAGATTCAGTTTTAAAACCTCAGCACGTGTGCGCAGTGGGTCTCAGGAATGAATGTCAGGGGAGGCCCCATGCTTCCTGAGCACCTAACCTCACCCAGCTCGGTGCTGGAGTTTCCTTATGGGTCACCCCTTGTGGTCTCCACAGCAGCCCTGTGAGAGAGACAGTTGTTAGCCTGGTACGTACTTGTGGAAACTGAGACCTGAGACAGAGTCCCGTCTGTGACAGAGCTGGTGAGGGTGGAACTGGGTGTTGCCCCAGAACCCAGCTCATTCGGGGTCCTCAGCCCCGTCCCCTGCCCCTGGAAGAACAGCTTGGGGCTGTGCCTATTTGGAGGGCAGCATGAGGGTCAAATCCTCCCACGTGAAGGTCAGCGGGCCCCTCTCTCCCTGCAGACAGCCAGTGCACAAGCCAGGCCTGAGGGATGGCAGATGGCTTTCCCAGATGGCAGAGGACACAGCCCAGCTGTGCAGGGGGTTGTATGAGGACAGGAATGATGGGGGGGCAATGGTTAGGGGGTAATGGAGGTATCTGATTGGTTAAACAGCTGCATCTGATATGAAGGGGATAGAGAGCTACAGTAGGTGCTTGAGGCTGGGAGTGACATGATGATGGTGGTGGTTGTGATGTGATCCAGTGGGACAGCCTGGAGGCAGTGACACCAGCTGGGAGAGTATAAGGCTCTCTGGGAAGCCCTTCATACCGCTCTGCTTTTGCCCTTGCTGTTCCTTTGGCCTGCTGTTTACTCCCTACCTTGTTCATTCAGCAAACTTGCCCTCCCGGGAGCCAGCCAAGCGTCACCTTCCTGGAGCTACCTTCCCCCACCCCCTTCAGGGATGTCAGTCTGTCCTAACACCCCTGTGGCACTTACCATGGTGTCTCATGAAGAGTCCATGTGCAAAATAGATTTTTACAGGGCTTTTAATTACAGTGTTTTTAATATTCAATTTAATATTTAAATTGAAATCATCCCACTATGTTTTGGCCTGAGATCTCATAGTTGGATTCTCATAAATTAAATACCCATGTGATGCATGTCCACAAGATAAGACTGATGACAGCTGGGTAGGGATGGGCAGAGGAGGGCTCAGGACAGGCACACCGAGTGTGGGGTGCAGGGGATGTTTCACATCGGCCCTGGTTGGTCCCACTGATGAACTTCTGGGTCATACCACCCGTCTTCCTGTTGCAGGGTCAGCTCCTGGAACTCTTCTTGTTCATTAACCCAGAATGTCCTCAGTGTGGTGTCTATGCCATTCAGGACCCTCCCAGACTAGGTCTGTGGAGAGAGAGCGAGAGGCAGGGAGACAAGGGTTGGTTGGAGCCGTGGGCTCGTGTGGGTGTCCCTAGCACGAGCTCCCACTTCTCCAAGTCCAAGGCATTCCTGTGGCCACCTCCCAGCAGTCAGCACCGTGGGCACAGACATCTTGGGCTCTGTGGGGGAGGATTGTGCGCCTGCTGGAAGTCAGGCTAGTCACCCTGCGCCTGACCCGTCTGGAGCATTCCTCTCTGCAGAGGAGATGGCCGCTGATTGATTGAGGTCCAGATGGAGCTGTTAAAGATAACAATGAAGTCAGAGAAGCTGCCCTGCCTAATGAAGCAGGCAGGCCTGCGCCTGGGAGGGACAGGTCTGTGGGGCAGCAGTAATGAAAAGCCGGAGACAGACCACCCTGGGTGCCCAAGACCTCCTCCCTTGCCTGAACTTGGGCGGTTGTCCATCTGAGCATGGTAACAAGGTATAAAGTCTCATTCCCCAGACCCAAGGACTGCAGAGACTGATGTGTCGGGGCTGGAACAAGGGGTCCTGGAAGGCCACGTGTGTTCACTCATTCTTTCATAACATGTACACACCAACGTGGGTGAGCAGCCATGATGATGAGTGTGAATATTATGGCAGCTGGGGCCATCTGCACGGCCTCCCAGGGCCCCTAAACACAGCATGTACATTATTTCCTGGAGTGTATATGTTTCTGAGGCCTGCTGTCCCCACCGCAGCTCAGTAAAGGGTTTGGAGAGACTCATATTTGCATTTCAGTGCCGGGGAGGGGAGGGATGGGGATTAGGATGGGTTTGTAGTTTGTTTGCTCTTACCCTGCTATAGTCACGCACACCCGGGTTTTCGTTTTGTTTTGTTTTGTTTTGTTTTTAGTGAGATTGACTTACTTTAAGTTCAAATTCAAAAGCTCATCAAAATTTAATGGTCAGTATTTTGCCTTCTCTGGGCCAGGAGCTGGCTTGGTACAATATAAAAAGGTGGGATAGAGGGGGCACCCTGCTGGCCTCATCACAGCTGCTTGGCCTCAGGTGGGACGCTCTGGGTGACCTCTGGATCCTGTGCTCTGTGGAGGAGACCTGGGAGATGCCTTTCTGTGACCTATGGATTCCTTGGGAAAAGACTTTGAGCAAATTCGGTCCCCAGGAGGAATTGTTCATTCAGTGTCTTGTGTATTTATCTCTCTTTACTGCTCTGAAGTTAGGGATTCAATTTCAACTGCTTTCAAGATTAGTTACCCTTGAAATTTTGCCATGCATACTTAACTTAGCAAAGTCTAAAGTTAATCAATAACTTAACCCAGTTTACTAATTCTTTTTGTACAAATGTAAGTCTGTCATTGAAGATTTTGTACTTACAAAGTAAGAAGTAATTAGGGATTTTAGACTTCAAAGGTCTTAAAAAGTCTCTGGAAGGACTTTGTCTCCTCTCTTCTGACATGGAAGTCTGCTGTCTGTGCTGCGGCTGCCTGTTCTGAGCAGAACATTTAGCCTCTGGGGGTGTCCCTGCATCCTGGGCAGTTCCCATCGTGCCTCCCCTCCAGGCTGCAGTGGGTGGTCCTGTCTCGTCCTCTCTCAGAGCTCCTTGGAGCCCCTTTTAGCATTGGCCTTCTCTTTTCCTTTATTTCCTGGAAGGAGCATTTTCTTAGGCAGGTTCCTGCACACCTCCCTGCCCAGGACCTGGCTAGCTGCAGCTGGCACGTGCAGACGGTCACACAGCAGAATGTTTTAATGCTGTGCAGTTTGCCCTCCTGTCAAAGGTGGGTCTGCAGAAGACTAGTTACAGCTGCAGGTTTTGAGGCTTTCACTAGCATTTATTCTGGCATAGCTTGAAACAGCTGATCTGTCAGGGGAAGCACCAGCAAGTCAGCCTGCAGCACCCCAGCAGGATGGCACGTCTGGCCTTGGGGAGGAGTGGGGCCATTCTACTCTGACTAGCCAGCTTCCCAGCATCTAGGGGAAGAGTGAAACTGCAGCTGTCTGACTAGGGCGCTGCCCCGGCCCTGTGCCTGCATTCTTACGTTGCCAAAGAGCAGGGTGTCTGGGAGAGGCCAGTGCCAGCTCTTGCCCCAGCCCCAGTTGGAGAGTCTGGAGTCCGCAGCTAGATTAACCACTGGATGGGTCCTGGGAGAAAGTTGTGGCCAACTCTACCAGGCACAGAGGTTGGAGGAGGGAGGGGGCGGTGCCCAGGGTGGGTGGCGGTGACTGAGTCCATTCCCAGAGACGAGGCTGGGCTCCTGAAGGCAGGGGGACAGGGGCACTTCTCCTTACAAGGCTGATTCTAGCAGCTCTTTGATTTGTTTTTAATTGAGATATAATTCACATATAAAACTCACCACATAAAATTCAGTGGTTTATAGTATTCACAAGATTGTGCAACCGTCACCACTATTAAATTCCCAAACATTTTTATCACCCTGGGAAGAAACTCCTATTCATTAGCACTTACTCCCTAGGTCCACTCCCAGTAAAGCCCTTTACTTTTTCACTGCTCTTTGCTGCAAGCTGCCAGCAGTACAGACTTGAGTGGGAGTCACAGAGTCCAGGAACCTCAGGGCTGGAATGTGGTAGAGACAAGGAGCTCAGGCACTGGTGACAGGGACTTGCTGGCTGTGTGGTTTTGGGAAGATGCTTAACCTCTCTGTGTTTTGGTTTTCTCTGCTGTTAAATATTTCCCACCTCATTGGGTTGTTTAATAAGATAATATGAGATGCCATCTAAGTAATAATAGGTACACTTGTTAAGACTTTTGCCTGCATTATTCTTATTTAATCCTCATTAATCCTGGGAAGTATGAGCTATTATTATCCCTATCTAATACATAAGGAAAACCAAGCACCAGAGAAGTTCAGTAATTTGTTCAAGATTGCATAACTAGGAATCAGTTTTTAGTTGCAAAGCATGGAAAACCTGATCCTGTCTTGTTTACAGAGAAGGGAAATTATGACCAGAATGGGAAGTCCAGGGGCCCAGCAGGCTGATTTGGCAGCTCATGGACCCCCTCAAGGACGGAGGGAGGTTCCTTTGGTGGTGGCTGCATCTGTGTGCTGGTGGCAAGGTGGCAGCTGCAGGTGTGGCCTCACGCCCCTGTGCGTCCACCCTCTTCTCAGGGTACTCACTTAAAAGGCGGGGTGTTTCCTCCCAGAAGCCCCAGGCCGACTTCCTCTCATGTCCCATCAGTCAGGACTGTGGGTCACAAACCCACTCCCACGTTCCTCATTGGCAGCGGGAGGAGGCTTGCCATGACTGGCTTAGATTACTTGGGATCTACCCCAAGTTATCAGGAGGGATCACACCCCAAATGTAAAAATTGGGGTTTAGTTAAGAAGCAGGAAATGGATTTTGAGTGGACACAGCAGTATCTTGGCAGCATCTATCAAGACCAGCAGGGACCTGAGCCGAGGTCTGAACCAGCCCTCTGAGGTCCATGGCCACTGCACTTCGGCACAGCTACTCAGCCTCTACAACACCCGGCATGTAGCAAGTATTCAGTGAATCTCGTGTCGATTCATAAATTCTAGTTCTCACCCCACACCCCTGAGTTTTTCTGACCTTCTGTTCCTCTTCTAGAACTCAGTTAAGTGGTTGCCTGGCCTCTGCTTGAGCTTTACTTGCGGGAAACTTAGTACCTTACCCAGCATTTTCTTCCCTTCTTTGACCATTAAGTGCCATGGCTACTTTTTGGGTGAATTAGAAAAAATCTGCTTTAGATGCAAAAATTCAAAAAAAGGGGCCCACTCTAGGCAGTGCAGCCCTTCAAGGCTTGGAAAGATGCCTTTGTGGTAAGAAAATAGCACACTTACCTCTGGGTAAGTGCAGCCCTGCTTGGGAGGTGTCCCTCAAGGTTGGTGCCTTTGTGCAGTGCACAAGCCGTACAACTGTTTTGGGATGTCTCTTCCATTAAGGAATGCTGCAGAGGGGTTTTTAAATGTGCTCAAGCCTCTGCCCTCCTGGGCACTGGCAGAGAGTGGAAGGTTTGTGCCCGAGTTACCCAGGTTTGGAGGGCATGGTGGCCAAGGGTTCCCCTTCCTGCCTGGAGATGGTGTATCTCTCTCTCATGAGAGGGTTCAGCTGAAGAAGGATGAACCTTCACCTTCCCTACCCTTACCTCCTCTTCCCTCTCCCCTCCCCAGGGACAGGTGGTGAGTGTTTGGGAGGTGAAAGATTCTGCTCAAGGGGAAACCAACTGGCCTGGAATGGCCTCGGCCCTTTCTTTAGCCTCAGTCCAGGCAGCACTAGCTGTGCCGTGGCCTCTGAAGACTGACCTGTCACAAGGCTGTTCATGATGAAATTGGGGAAGTCTAAACCCAGGGCTTCCAGAGGCCCAGGCAGGTGGAATCTTGTCCTTGAAGCTGAAGAGAGTCTTGACAGTGACCCAGTGAGTTTTAGAATGGAGACTGAGCTTCCCTGTAGAATACAGGAAGGCTCAAGCTGTGGTCATATGGCCTCTCAAGTTCTTCTAGGTTATTCTGAAAGTTCCCTGGGGTGAGCAGACAGCTTGGGGGGCAAACTGGGGCCAGAGGGTCTCCTTTACCCCTGGCAGCACCGGCCCTCACGTTTCCTATCACTAAATTTTCCTGAAGGTTCCCTTTGCCAAGTTCCTGTCTGGTGGGAATTTTTAGCTTTGATTAACAAGCCTAGAGAAGCAAAACGTAAAGGAAATGTATTTGCTGACATTATGCAAAGGTGGGGGCTCTGCTTGTGTCATTGTGTAAGCACACGGTCGTTTTTTCAGCAGCAGTTGGAACGATTTTATAATGATGATGGTAACAATAATAATAAACAAAATAACATCCATAATGTATCGGGTGCTTGCCATGAGCCAGATTTTACAGATATAGATGCCCACCCAGTGGCATGCATCTAGGACGTGGTCATGGTGGGATTTGAGCTCAGGCTTTCCCGACTTTGAACTAGTACCTCTAACATCTCTCTTACCAATATGTGCCTCTCCTACCTGGATCTTCGGATTTGAGAGAGAATTATGGTTTTCGAAATAGAGCTTTGCAGACCAAAGAATACGCCACACAGTCTCATGAGCCTGCAGACAGAGACAGCCAGGAGCTGCCCTGTGATGGTGACTCCTGACTTCCTCCAGCTATTTGCTCGTCTGTGAAATGGGGATTTACATTCACACCTGTCTCGTAGTTAGAGATGATGCCTTAGTGGCACTGGGAACGTGCAGGTGTGCAGGCTTGGAGTCAGAGAGCTCTGAGTCTGCCTGGGTGGCATCCTGACTAAGGATGCGGGCTTCTTTCTTACCCTTCTAGGCTTCATTTTGTCACCTACAGAATGGGAATAATGATAGTAATTCACAGCAACCTTCCTTACAGGGCAGGTCCCCATGAGATACACCTGTAAGGCTCTTAGCTTGCATGAAATACACATGCAGTGAGTGCTGACTATGATAGGTTTCCCAATAGAGTGCTGGGTTTGTATATTTCTAGTGGTTTTGAATTAATAATTTGAGTTTGAATAAGCTTGCAAAAGAGCCTAAAAGTAAACAAAAAAACGCATGAATATCTGACCCCATGAAGGAATTTGGAAAATGGTGGGTGGAGGGTGGTGTTTATTTCAGAGTTTCACTGGTCCTGTGTTCATTGATAACAGAGTGACGGGGGCCCTGAGAATACCAATTCTCACTTCATGGAGGGAGAAGGGGGCACAGAGGGAGGTGAGGCAGTGTCCCCAGGCTCACAAACATCCACACCTCCACTCTCTTCATCCTCCTCAGGAGCTGTTTTGTTTTTCTTCTGTTCCTCTAAGAGCAGCAGCCGAAGAGCCAACTCTGGCTTTGCTCCTATTCCAAAGCCGTCCTGATTCTAGGAGACATGCCCCTTGGCCTGCAGCCCACGTATGACTGCTTGGCCTGCCACCTCCACTCATCCCAATGCTAAGGCCAACCTGGGGCCTGAGCAGAAAACCCAGTGCCCTTGTCCCCAACAGGAGCACATGCATGCACACACACACATACACACCCCCCACCCCACCCCCCAACACACACCTGCCTTTCGGGAGGACTCAGAGCTTGTACAAAGGGTCACAGGGTGGCATCTAACATCAGCATTTCAGCTCACCATTCCTGTCTGGGGTGAGAACCACAGGAAGATGCCAAGGCTGTTACATCTTGCCCCTCCCATATGGCATTGGGATCTCAGCAAGTCTGAAGGACAAAGCAAAATGGGCATGTCAGGGTCCTTTAAGTGATCCTGCCTCTCTGCAGGGGCATACCCTACTGTTTCTCAGACATGGAGGGGCCCAGCAGGGGATGGAGGATACCCCCCACCCCCACCTCCTCTGAGGCCCTGGGTTCACAGAGCGGCTACAAAGTCTAGGAGCTGTCAGCTGATGACCAGAGGGCCCTGTACCTGAGATCTGGCTGGCGCCCATCCCAGAGTGGGAGCTGCTCAGCTGGTGGCTGGACATCTGTTTTGTCATCTGCGAGGGGGCCAGTGGGTGCCTGCTGAAATTCTGACTGCTCTAAGGGCTATTTGGTCTACTGGGCCGACCAGCCTCAGCCCCAGAGAAGCCTGATGTTTGGGAGCCCTTCACCCACCCTGAGACCCAGGTCCAAAACCTTCCCAAGCTTTCAGAGTCCACATTTGTAGGTTTCAGTGAACTCGTATCCTTATTGGTTTGTTCATTCATTTGCCAAATATGTGTGGAGCACCTACCATGTATGGGCCAGGTGCTCTGATGGACAGCGGAAGAAAAACATTGACCTGCCGTCCGGGAGCTTCCATGTAACTGGCACATTCAAATCACAATTATTTTATTATGGAAAGTTTTAAACATACAAAAGCAGAGCAAATATTATACTGAAGCCTCATGAATCTGTCACCAGTTTTAGTCATTATCAACTTGTGGCCAACCTTGTTTAATCCCTGCCCCTTCCCTCTCCTGCTATTCTGGTACAAATCCCAGAAATGCTATTGTTTTGTCTGTACATTTGAGAATGTATCCCTAGAGGACAAGGGCTCTTTTAAAAATTATGTAACTGTACTATTAATAATAATCCCTTAGCATTACCAATGTCTGGTCAGCATTTACGTTTCTAATTGGCTCATAAATGTAACATTTTTGGATTGTTTGAGTTAGGATCCACTAAAGGTCCATCCACTGCATTTACTGGAGTTGATGTGTGTTTTAAGTCTCTTCTAAGCTGTCGCAGTTGGTCTCCGGGGCAGTCAGGATAGCCTGGGAAATTATCAGTGCAAATTGTCAGCCAGCCTCAGACCTACTGGATGAGAAACTCTGGGGGTGAGACCATTAATCTGTGTTTTAACAAGCCTCGGGGGTTCTGATGCACAGCAGAGCTGAGACCTTCTAGTCCATAGGTTTGCCCTCCTTTCCTGTAGATTTTCCTTGTGATTATCTTTAGGAGAAACCTGTCTCTCTTGTCGAGTTTCCCCCATCTGGGTTTTCCAGTTGATCACCAGGAACTGATGCACAAGTTCTTCTCTCATCTGCACCGGGGGAGCTGAGAAGGCTCTTCTCTCTTAAAAGAGGAGGCTGACTTTTAGAGGTGGAGGTCCCTGAAGGGTGATGCAGAATTTGCCTGCTGTAGAAGCAGGATGCACGCTAGGCAGGGGAACAGCATGTGCAGTGCCCAGAGGCTGAATCAAGCACAGATGTTCCAAGGCCTGTGGATAGGTTTGGTATGGCCAGGGATGTGGGGCAGTAGAGAGAGAAGAGACTGCAGAGGAAGGTGGGGTGGACTTAGAAGAGCCTGGGGTCAGTAGTGTGCTGGACTTTATTGCATGGGAAATGGGCATCAGGGGAAGACCCTGACAAGGTTGAGTTAGGTGAGCAGACCTTGATTTTGACCAGATGGCTTTCTCTGTATCTGCAGTCATGGCTTTAACTGCAGGGTGAGTGTGTCTGGGGGAGGGGGCAGGCCCAGGACAGGGAGACTGAAAGTTCAGGAGGATCTGGACCAAGGCTGTAGTGGTGACTTAGCAGAGGAGCCAGCGAATGCAAGAGATGCTAATTAGAAGGAGTGATAGGGCTTGGGGGTAGAATGAGAAAGGAGGAAGTCTAGGGACTCTTCCATCTGGGAGCAGTGGTGGTTTTACTGGCAAAAGGGGTATCTGAGGAGAGAGGCAGACCTGGGTGGTTTGAGAGCTGATCCCACATTGTTGGAGGTCACT
This sequence comes from Homo sapiens, assembly GCF_000001405.40. Lineage (NCBI taxonomy): Eukaryota > Metazoa > Chordata > Mammalia > Primates > Hominidae > Homo > Homo sapiens. Next base: position 125,287 of record NW_025791790.1, on the reverse strand, counting down.
CAGCATAGCATGTATGTTACTAATATCCAACTCAAGAGAGTTGATGCCTCAGTTGGGAAAGAACTCCCTGACACTCTTAGTCTGTGGATAGTCACTGAGTCCACTTTTGGGTACACATAAAAAGTCCATCCATTCATCCATCCATCCACTCATCTATCCATCCATCCATCTATCCACTTACCAACCCATCCATCCGTCCATCCATCCACTCACCCACCCACCCACCTATCCATCCATCCACCCACCATCCACCCACCCATCCATCCATCCATCCATCTATCCATCCATCCATCCATCCAACATTGAGTGCTTGTGACATGTCAAGAGCTAAGGAATTAGAGATGAAGTAAGACTTGGCCCTACCCCAACAAGCAGAGTCCATGGGAGAGAAGCCAGGAGGACAGAAACATCTTAGTACCATGTGTAGGGTGATCTGGTAGAGCCTCTTCAAATGCTGGATGCTGGAGGGAAGGGCTGTAAGGTTGAGGAGTGTAATTCATGAAAATTAGTAGTAAAACTGTTGGTCAAGCAAGTGTGTCTTCACCTCTCCCAGCAGTTGCCTGGACATGTATAGACACAATTGGAGGCCCACGGACCAATGCATGAACCTGCAGTTAGGAGAGAGACTGTGAACCACCCCTGTTGACAGTTTGGGATTGCAGGGACTCGGGGCTTTTCCTGTCTTGGGAAACTCAGCTGCCCCAGTTCGCTCTCCCTGCGACATTTCATCTCTTGGACTATTCAGGGAGGTAGGAGGGGTAACAAGAAGTTGCTACCCCGTGTCAGGATGGGCCTGATGCTGCCCCCAACTTGGCCTGGGCTTGATGCTACTGTCTCTGCCATGGTAAATGCTCATTTCCATAATTATTATTTAGCATTTGCAGAGTGGTTATTTTACACTCAGTGTTCTTTGTAGTGAGAGGGTCTCCTGGTTCATGCCAATAAAATTTCCATTTACTCTGGACATCCACCATAGTGATTAAAAACAGCCCATAAATTATTTACTGAAATGGAAGTTCAGCTTACAGTAATAATGCATTAGTTCAGCTAGCCATGAAGCCTGTTATAGGGTAATAAAAGATTTTTTATTTTCCTTCTGAAAAGATGTTTGCCAGTAACCTACATATGACCTTGAGCTGATCAGTTTTCAAAGATGACACTGCAGGCAGGCATATAAGGAGAGAAAGAGAGAGAGGTTTTTTTTTTTTAAATAGCCTGATTTTAGGCAATCGTTAGCAAAGGCCTGACATCTGACAGCCAGCAGGGAAAAAGAAATGCAAATATATATATATATATATATATATATATATATATTGCATTTTTTAAAATCATAAGTACCAGACCTTAAAACTCCTTTTCAAATTGGGCATTTATTTGATGGATACGTAAATCTGAAAGCTAACAAGAAGGACTGTTTAGAGAAACTAGAATGTCACTATTGTTGAGACCACCTGTCACATTTCCTCGGAGCCTAGAACCTTGTAGAATAAAGTCAGCCCTATGGTTCTGTCTTCATCTTTAAACATGTATTTATGGAGCAGAATTGATTTTATGTATCTCAGAGAGTCTGTGATTCTGCTCACGGCCATTTGCTGACTAATGACTTTGGCAGAGGAGAACAGCAAGCAAGTTCATGAATTATGGCTCTCTTTGAGGTTCTCTTATCAAGACTATTTTTTATTTTAAGAACATCTGCTTTGATTAAAGCCATTAGAGCTGGGACCACATAAAATTGTGTCTGAATTTTATATGTGTTGCATTTTACAGCAGGAACCCAGATGAAGCCTGCATTTTAATCCTTAAACCAATAAGACCAGCGATGAGGATTAACCTAACAAACTAAACTAGTTCCTCCTCAATTGCCTGGTTTGGGGTTGTAAGAAATCCTGGGGCAGGAGACTTGTTGGCCAGGATTTGATACTTTTATTTATTTGTCCTCTACATTGCTGCAAAAATATTTTCATTTCTTTATATACCCCTCTTTCTGGCAAAAATTGTTTAATGTGTTGGGGTGGGGTGTTCCAGGATTGTGAGTTAATCTATAACCACCCTCATCACCTTATTTTTATGTTCACTAAAGTTAAAAAAGATTTTCTGCTCACTAGCTCTGCAAGACTGAAGTGATGTTAAATTATCTAACACGTAGCTAATAGCAAAGGAGACATGATGATTAATTTTTGTTTGTTCCCCAGAAAGCTCTTCTGTTTGTTTCCCAGAAAGGTCTGTTCCCCAGAAAGGTCTCTTCCCCTTCCGCTTAACCATAGTTTTGTGGCTAGTAGTTTGCATTCTTGAAAGGGTCAGTGTTGGCCGGGCACAGTGGCTCACGCCTGTAATCCCAGCAGTTTGGGAGGCCGAGGCCAGCGGATCACAAGGTCAGGAGATCGAGACCATCCTGGCTAACACAGTGAAATCCTGTCTCTACTAAAAATAAAAAAATTTAAAAATTTAAAAAAAAAAAACATTAGCTGGGCGCGTTGGCAGGCGCCTGTAGTCCCAGCTACTCGGGAGGCTGAGGCAGGAGAATGTCGTGAACCTGGGAGGTGGAGCTTGCAGTGAGCCGAGATCGCACCACTGCACTCAGCCTGGGCGACAGAGCGAGACTCAGTCTCGAAAAAAAAAAAAAAGAAAAAAAAAGAAAGAGTCAGTGTTTCTCTGATTCCTTGATGTGAAAACATTGACTCTCTCTGTATTATGGGATTTCAGGGTAACTTAGTGCTTGAAGTGGAAGATGCTTTGAGTAGGCCTTTATTTAATCTACTTGGAACGGTGCTGTAGGTATTTCTTAAAACTCCTAGTTCCTTTAGCTCTGTCCTTGATCACATTTCTTGATAGAGCATTTTCTTTAACCTGTCTTTTAGCAATCTTCCTTCTCTACCTCCACAGAAGGGTCTGGATTTTCTTTTCTTCAGCTTCCTTTCTTTCTCTCAAGCCTCGACTATAGGAAACTCTATTTGTGTCGAGGTGTTGACTTAGCCTTTCTCTTCTGTTCCTAGTGTGTCCAAGTCAACCTGTGGGGACTGAACTGGACTATCCCCTGGGTGAGAGTAGTCCCGAGGGAGATGTTGTTGTATTAGCTTTATAGAAGCAGTGGAGGCAGGGCCACACTTAATGGCATTTGGGATTCCTTACTATAGATAATGGCCTCTGTATAATTGACAGCCAGGACACACAGCCTACACTTGGTATGTATAGGGCATTCCATACATCAATTCTCTCCTGTTGTCCATTAGCTTATATCTGTCAGATATTCATAGATTAATAGATAATATTCTGTATTTTATTTCTGATCATTTACCTACTGAATGAAAGATCTCAAGCCTTGTTGGGACACATCAGAATTAAACTCCCCATTCTCCTCAGGGGGTGAGATAGGCTTTTCCGTTTTTTTTCCCCTGAGAATTTTTGAGCATCATTTTGACATCCTAAGTAGTGAAGTAGAGAAACAGTAGCATGTCTCTACTGGCTGTGTATATTTCTGTGCTGTACTGATGGACATTCGCTGGTGAATTATCTTTGATTTGGAATATACAGATATATAGATGTGGGTGTGCACCATGTGCAGGTATCTCTGAAAATGTTACCCCTCCATACCTTCTGTGCAGATCAGTTTTCAATCATTGCACAGTGTAGCTGAATTTTAACTTCTGATGGAAAAAGTCCATGAAGTTCGGCTGCCTCTAGGCCTGGCTGAGTGATCAGCAAGTCAAATGATTTGTTTAATATTGGCCCAGTTGCCGTGGGGTTGAAGGGAGGTACAGCAGAACCAAAAAATCCTTGCTTCTTGCCCTCAAAGTATCCTAGAGTCCCCTGGGGACCCAAGACATGTGTTCCATGTGTGGCTCAACCTTGGCTATTTTGCAAATCAGTGAGAAGACCCAGGGCTCTGAGAAGGGCTGAGTGATGGGATAATTAGGACCAAGCAGCAGCGGGGTGGATAGTTTGTCTGCAGATAATAGCTTGTTTGCTAATTGCCAACACCAGATTTTCTGGGCAATTAGACATTTGGTTTCTTTCAGGACCGTCTGTGCAAATGTGGACACATGGCGCAGGCCTTCCAGGTAGCAGGTGGAGAGGGTGGCTTCTGGTGCTGATGGCATTTCTCCGCAGGCTGCCCAAGGGCTGTGGGCAGGGAGGACCTCTCACCAACAGGTGGAAGGACCATCTGGCTGGAACCCCTAGTGGGGAGGCAGAGTTCCCCCTGCATTCATGGAAGGGGTTCCCTTGTGCTGGGAGATTAGCAAAGATGGTGGAGATCAGCAGGCTGGTCTAGGAACTGAGCTGACTTCTCCATTCTCTTTTCAAGAGCAATTAGCGCCCACGGCTAATAGCAATTCTGTTAGTCGTGGGTGCTAATAGAAATCAGAAATAGCTTCCCCTCCCAGATGAGCAAGTTGATTTAAACTTTTCAATAAAGTTTTTTTAAAAAGTATGTATAACATAAAATTTGCCACTTAAACCATTTTAAGTGTATGATTCAGTGGCATGAATTATATTCACAATGTTGTGCAACCATCACCACTATCTATTTCCAAAATTTTTCACTACCCCAAAGAGAAATTCTGTACTCATTAAGCAAGAACTCTCCATTTCTCCCTTCCTCTTACCCCTGGTCACCTCTCATCTACTTTCTGTCTCTGTGAATTTGCCTATTCTGGAGATTTCCTATAAGTGGAATGATACAATATTTGTCCTTTTGCATCCATGTATTTTACTTAGCATATTTTCTAGGTTCACCTATGTTATAGCATGTATAAGAATGTTCTTCCTTTTTACAATGAAATACTATTCTGTTGTATGGATATACCACATTTGGTTTATCCCTTCATCTTTTTTTTTTTTTTTTTTGAGATGGAGTCTTGCTCTGTCACCAGGCTGGAGTGCAGTGGCACAATCTCGGCTCACTGCACCCTCCGCCTCCTGGGTTCAAATGATTCTCCTGTCTCAGCCTCCCGAGTAGCTGGGACTACAGGCATGTGCCACCACGCCTGGCTAATTTTTGTATTTTTAAGTAGAGATGGAGTTTCACCATGTTGGCAAGGCTGGTCTTCAGCTCCTGACCTCAAGTGATCTGCCCACCTTGGCCTCCCAAAGTGCTGGGATTATAGGCGTGAGCCACCGCGCCCAGCCTATCCCTTCATCTGTTGTTGGACACTGGAAGTGTTTCCACCTTTCTGTTATTGTGAATAATGCTGCATGAACATTTGCATATAAGTATCTCCTTGAGTCCCTGTTTTCAGTTTTTTGGGTAGATACCTAGGAGTGGAATTGCTGGTCATATGGTAATTCTGTACTTGACTTTTTGAGGAACTGCCAAACTCTTTTCCACAGCAGTTGTCCCGTTTTATATTCCCACTAGCAATGCTCAAGGATTCCAATTTCTTCACATCCTTGACACACTTGTTATTTTCCTTTCTTAAAAAACTGTAGCCATCCTAGTCAGTGTGAAGCCATATCTCACTGGTTTTGATTAGCATTTCTCTACAGACTAATGATGTTGAACATCTTTTCATATACTTGTTGATATATCTTTTGTGTATTTTCTTTGGAGAAATGTCTATTCAAGTCCTTTACCCAGCGAGTTGGATTTTTGCCTCTGTAATTACTGGACTGTGCCTCTCCCTCCCCAAGATAGGAACTGAGCCTCATCAGGCGGAGAGAGGCTGTGAGCTTGCAGAGAGTGGGAGGTGGCTGTGCAGATTTGAGGCTTCACATTCCCTCTTGCATGATTCATTTCATTCCTACAGCCTGTTTGGTGCCCACTGTAATGATGCTGCCTGAGTCCTCATCAAGTAGAAAAAGTAATCAGCAAGAGCCTGGGATTAACCCAAAGTGATTTAGCAGAAGAGGCAGATGGAACCATTCCACCTGCTCCCCTAGAAGCAGACAGGCTTTTCTCAGACACCTCAAACCTTCTGGTTTCCTTGACCACAAGTATTGCCTTGGAAAATTACCCACTTCTTCCTAGCAGGTTTCAGTACGTATGTACTAAACGGAGCAGGATGTGCAGAGCACCGAGGGTGGTGCTGGGTCGTTGCACGTGCCCAGTGCCCGGCCTTCGTCTCTGCGGTGGGAGCACGCAGTCTTCACTCAGCTTCTCTGTGCCCTGCCAGCCCTAGGCAGCAGGCAGGGAGAGCACTGTAGCGCGTTCCAATGCCGGCCAGGGAGAGTGTTTTTTCTCCCGGGGGGCCCATTCCTGGGGCAGAGCCACTGGCTCTGGGAAGACTTCAGAAAAATGCTAGGCCTGAATGATGGTGAGTGCAGGGGAACAGACAAAATGGTGTTCCTGCTGCTTAGCTGCTGGCCCTTCGCCTGTTTGACCTCGTGGCTGTTGGGTCCCATCTGCAGGGGCTAGAAATGCTGATCTGTCTGCCTTTTTGCTGTGGTTTTTATGATTGAAAAAGGTCCCAAACCTTCAGTATCACTGAAGAGAGATGAATTCACATGCCCTGGCAGGGGGAGGGAGGAGCTGGTGCATCTGCTAGGCAAGGACGCTCTTTCTGAAGCTTCATCACATCCTACATTCCTAGGATAGGGGTTGCTCTTCCTTGGGGGAGGTACCCCTCACCCCTTTGGGAACCCGAGGGCTGTAGATGCTCTTCCAAGAAAATGCACACAAAAATTTGACATAATTTCAGGTGGCTACAGGTCCTGCTAGTCCATCATGGAGCCTGGCCTCTGGCTCCACAGACAACACAGCCAGGAGCGGAGCTTTCGGGGACTGACCAGCATCTCCAACTAAGCTGGGTTGAGTGGCACAGAGTGAGAGGCCTGGTGGCGACTGGGAGGAAAGGAGCATCTCATTTGGTCGAATTCTAAATACCAAATGCAAAGAGGTGCTGGAACGGATGTTCCTGCCTTCCTGGCTGGGGCTGGGCCTTGCCCATTTCGTGAGCTGGCTTTGCAGAGGCCGCAGTTCCTGGAGGAGTTAAGGCCATGCAGCCCTCATTTCTTCCCCCTGGGTCAGTCCATGCCACTTCTAAGGAGGCGGCTTTGTTTTTCCTTTCAGAAACGGCTCCCACATCTGCATATTCATCTCCAGCCCGGAGTCTTGGGGACACAGGAATAACGCCTCTGTCCCCCTCCCATATTGTGGTAAGAAGTGTGTGTGTGTGTGTGTGTGTGTGTGTGTGTGTGTGTGCGCGCATGGGTGCGCATGAGCACACGTGCGTACTGACTTCCTTTGCATTCTGGGTCTGATCTCACAGTTCAGGCTGCTGGACAGCCCCTCACATTCACTGGTTGGAGATTAAGTTGACCTGGTCCTGGCCAAAGGAGCCCTGCCAAGCCCCTTCCCCCACTCCGAGCCTGGGAAGGCTTTCTGTGCTGTGGCTAGTGCTTCTGGAGCAGGGGCCTGGGTGGGTCACAGAAGAAGGTGAGATGGGAGCAGCCCTTTAAAGATTCAGGGTCAGAGCCTGTGAGGTGTCCTCTTGAGAGGAAGCCGCTGACTCTGGGCTAGTGAATCGGTGAATACATGGACTCTGTTGACTGCGGTTGTCTGCAGTATCGAAAAGACCCTAGCAGTATAATCGCTTCTGGAACAGCTTGCCTGGTAGAGAAGCCCTGAGCAGGGCTTCATATGCATTGAGTGGGGCTAGAGATGGGGCTGTTGCTCCCACCCTGCCCTGTATGAGGAAAGATGGATGTTAGGGGGCGGCCGTTTAGAGGGGTGTGCACGTAGATGCACAGGCAGCCAACCTGAGTGAGTGCCCGGAAGACAGGGCAGCTTTGCATGAGCTGTGCAGACGCACAAAGAAGACCCAGGGAGAACTGCGGAGTCACTGCTAGGCAGGGATGCCAGCCTGTCTGGTTTCCTGGAACTGTCCGGCCTTTACACTGCAAGTCCTGCACCCTGGGGACTCCTTTATTCCTGGGCAAACTGGGAGGGTTGGTTCCCTAGGGCCAGGTTCTGTGGTTTTCAAGCTTTGCACCCTGAAGTTGTCCTGTAAGAGCTTCAGGGCTGTGAGGGAGGGGAGCGGTGTGAGGAGAGGCCAGGCGGGTGGCATTCTCACCCCTCCCCTCCAACATTTGTTGGTTTTATAATTTGGAGTTCTGTGGGAGTTAAAAAAAAAGTGTAAACTGCTTAAAAAAAAAAAAAGAGGCCAGGCGTGGTGGCTCACGCCTATGATCCCAGCACTTTGGGAGGCTGAGGTGGGCAGATCACGAGGTCAGGAGATCGAGACCATCCTGGCTAACACCGTGAAACCCAGTCTCTACTAAAAAATACAAGAAATTAGCCGGGTGTGGTGGCGGGTGCCTATAGTCCCAGCTACTCGGGAGGCTGAGGCGGAGAAGGGCGTGAACCCGGGAGGCAGAGCTTGCAGTGAGCCGAGATTGGGCCACTGCGCTCCAGCCTGGGCGACAGAGCGAGACTCCGTCTCAAAAAAAAAAAAAAAAAAAAGGAGAGAGAGAAAGGCTTGGAAACCTGAAATAGCCTGACCAAGTGATCTAGATGAGGCAAGGCCCTGGGCCCTGACAGTCACAGTGGGTCATGTGGCTGGCCTGGTGGGATTGGACACGGTCCTGGGATGCCCAGCCCTGCTCACATGCATGAAATGCCAGCACAGATGGAGCAGTCACCTGGGTGTACAGAGGGCACAGCTGGCGAAATGCTCCTGGCAGTGGCCAGAGGTCTGCACAGGGTCTTGCGGAAGGCAGCAGGGCTTGGAAGAAGATTGTATCTGCTCAGGAACTACTGGGCGACCAGCCCTGATGATAGAATTTCTGTAACTAGCCGTGTGCGGGCACGGTCTATAGAGAGGAGTGGGCAAGCTGCAGGCTTTGTCCAGTCAGCCTGGCCCTCCACTCAGGGATGCCCCCATTTCTCCCTGAGCCATTCAGGCGGGGGCCCAGGCTGGGCTGCCTTCTCCCCAGGTGGTAGACTTGAGCTGGAATATAGAATGTCTTTCTGTCTGCAGGGGGTTCACAGCTAGGCAAGGTGAGACCCCCCAGGGGTGTCTTCCTGAAAGCCAGGCCCACCCCTCCACACCCCCCATGCCTCACTGTATATCTGCAGAACGACACTGACTCCAACGTCTCAGAACAGCAGTCATTTCTCGTGGTGGTGGCCGTCGACTTTGGGACCACATCCAGTGGCTATGCCTACAGCTTCACCAAGGAGCCGGAATGCATCCATGTGATGAGGTGAGTGCTGTGGGTGGGAGGGCCACGTGGCTGGTGCCAACCACTGCACCTGTGGAGACTCCGGGCAATGAGCCAGTGATTGGCACTTACGAAGACGGCCCTGGATTCTGTTCCAGCTTGGCTCAAGCTCACCATGCCACTGGGGACAAGCCATTTCTGATCTCTGGGCTCTAGGCTCCTGGTTTGAAAAGACGTTGGTTTGATTCTGATTTAGTTGGTCTGGGGAGGGGCCTGGGCAGTATGTTTGAAGCCTGGCCCGGGTGAATCCAGCTTGTGGCCTGGGTGAGAGGCGCAGATCTGTAGTGTCTGTGATGGAGGGATCCAGGTGCCAGCTTGGCCACTTACTGTGTGACTTTAGGCAATTGCTGAACCTGCTAAACCCCAGTTTCCTCATCTGTGAAATGGGAATCCTGACAATACCTCCCTCACAATGTGTGTGTGCAAATGAAAGGAGATTGTCCATTAAGTGCTTACTGTGTAGTAAAATGAAAGCAGGGAAGGTGCTGGCCCTTTCTTTTATTTTTTTTAAATTTTGTTATTATTATACTTTAAGTTTTAGGGTACATGTGCACAACGTGCAGGTTTGTTACATATGTATACATGTGCCATGTTGGTGTGCTGCACCCATTAACTCGTCATTTAGCATTAGGTATATCTCCTAATGCTATCCCTCCCCACTCCCCCCACCCCACAACAGTCCCTGGTGTGTGATGTTCCCCTTCCTGTGTCCATGTGTTCTCATTGTTCAATTCCCACCTATGAGTGAGAACATGCGGTGTTTGGTTTTTTGTCCTTGCGATAGTTTGCTGAGAATGATGGTTTCCAGTTTCATCCATGTCCCTACAAAGGACATGAACTCATCATTTTTTATGGCTGCATAGTATTCCATGGTGTATATGTGCCACATTTTCTTAATCTAGTCTACCGTTGTTGGACATTTACATTGGTTCCAAGTCTTTGCTATTGTGAATAGTGCCGCTATAAACATACGTGTGCATGTGTCTTTACAGCAGCATGATTTATAATCCTTTGGGTATACCCAGTAATGGGATGGCTGGGTCAAATGGCATTTCTAGTTCTAGATCCCTGAGGAATCGCCACACTGACTTCCACAATGGTTGAACGAGTTTACAGTCCCACCAACAGTGTAAAAGTGTTCCTATTTCTCCACATCCTCTCCAGGTGCTGGCCCTTTCAAGTGAAGAGAAGTGCTGGGGTGTTGGTAGCCAGAGGCAAAAAGCACCTGCCAGAGAGAAGGCAGCATGAGGGGAATCTCAGCCAAGTGGCCCCATAGGCAAAGTTGCCCTGGGCCTCCTGGGATGCACTCTGTGCTGGGATGCCCCCTTCCCTTCCCCGCACACCCAGCACCCTGCAGGCCCCGGGTGCCACCCATCCATGGGATCCCAGTCTTGATCCATGATCTTCTTGCAGGGTATGACTCCTCGAATCTTTGGAAGCCCAGAATTTATCATCCCAATTTTCAATTCCAAGGGATGACTCTGAAGATACATTGTAATTGGCTTTGCAGTTTCTTCAACTGAGTAATTGTGGAATTTAGTATTGCTCCTAGATTAATATTTTTTAGTTTTGTTGTTGTTGTTATTTTTTTTTTTTTAAGAGACAGGCTCTTGTTCCTTTGCCCAGGCTGGAATGCAGTGGTGTGATCATGGCTCTCTGCAGCCTCAAACTCCTGGGCTGAAGTGATCCTCCTGCCTTAGCCTCCCAAGTGGCTGAGACTACAGGTGCATACCACCACACCCTGCTAATGTTTGTATTTTAGGAATTTTTATAAAGGGTTGTGTAAAGCACAAGTCATAATAAAAGTGACTCCCACCCCAATCTTGGTTTAAGTCTCACCTTTCCTCTTGAAAACCAGATGTGGCTCAGCCTGAAGCTCTTGTCCTAAGAGGGTACAGACACTCCTGGGTGTCATGTCATCAGGAAATGATGAAAAGCCGGTTCTATAGCCAACTCTGTTGACAGCATCGCCCTTGGTGTTCAGTTGCCACCAGGAATCTCTTTCCATTTAGCCAGACAGATGCTGTGAGGGTCTGTGCTGCCACCACTGACCCCCAAGATGAAAAATCCCAGTGGAAAAGAATATGCCATTAAAGGCTAGAATCAATGTTTATCAGCTTCTATGTAGTTGTTCTAAGAAATGTTATTTCCACAGAATAGTCATGCAGTGAAAACAGAAAAGAAGGAGTGGAAATAACTTTGAACTTGCTTGGGGAGGGGTACTTATGAAGCACCACCATAGTTCAGGGCCTCTAGAGGAGATACCTTAGTAATGGTCGACATTTTGGAGGGAGGTTGGTTGGTTCTACCTGAATTTTATTTCAATCAGAACATATTAGCATAATGATGCTAATATGACAAGTTATAAGTGAGAAAGTTAACTTTTTTTTGTACTAAGTGGGAATGAAGGAATAAAAATTTGAAGGGAAAAAGCTCATGGGGTCATTCTCTACTGATAATGTCACTGTTAATGACAATTCCATTTGTGAAGGGCAGTGTGTGGAGCAGCTGCCTGGCATCGGGGCCATCCCTGTGTCTCAGTGCGGTCACCTCGGGGACTTTGGCTGCTGGGGTAGGAGCAGCATCCTGATGGAGCTTGACAAGGAAATTGACCAGGGATGATTCCAGACCCATTTGAGCAGCAAATATCAGTGGAGGCCGGAGCTCCATCTGGACTGAGATGGTCCTACTGATGCTTAATGTCATGGGGTCGGGAGCAGGTCCGGGATCAGCTGGGAGCGTGGCCACCTCTCCAGTGGGTGAGGAAAGTGGCTCATTTTCCCTCCTGCACTGCGTCCCCACCTGAGGGCGCACGGGCTGTGCATGGGGTCACATGGCCAGCGGCAGGCCAGGAGCCAGGACCTGGTTGGGCAGGGAACAGCTTGGCCTCTTGGTGGCCCTGGCCTCTCTGCAGTGGCCCCAAAGGTGAGCGAATACATTGAGTTTCCTGTCTTCCCCTTCCCCCTTCCCTTGCTCTCACTGCAGCCTCTCTCTCTCTCTCTCTCTCTCTGTCATTTCTTTTTAGAGATAGGGTCTTGCTGTGTTGCCCAGGCTGGAGTGCAGTGATGCGATCATAGCTCACTGCAATCCTCCCACCTTGGCCCCCCAGAGTGCTGAGATCTGTTTCTATGGTTCTTTCACCTCTGCTCCAGGATAGGTCTGAGGCTCCTGGCTTCCCTTTCCCTCCATTTAGCCCAGTTTGCCCTTATGAACAGCAGCTCTGATTCTGTCATACCCCTGCTCTAAGACCTTTAGTGGCTTCCCATTATTCACAGAGTAAATGTCTAAGTCCCCAGGGTTCTCCTCAGCCTGATTCCAGCTGCTTTCCCAATCGTGTTTCTCACCCTTCCCATTTTCACAGTCACTCTTCCCACTCACATACTCTCTCCAACCAACGCAGTCACTTCACATTCTCCACGAATGCCCCGGCTGGCCCACCTCTGAGCAGCCTGGAGTATCCTTCCCTCCTTTGAGATCCAGTTGTCTGTCTCTTCTTCAGTTCTCCCCCGAATCCTGCATTCTTTCCTCTGCCCTACCAGCTGGCACCTTGGGCATCTCATTTGCATCTCATAAGGCAGGTAATTATGCATTTGTCTATACCTACCTTGTTTCAGACAGGATTCAAGCTAGCAGTATATCTGCTATTGAGTGCTTGCAAATAAAAAATACATTGCCTAGCAGATTGTGAATTATTTGAAGACACAGACATAAAAGTTTCATGCCAGCACCTGGCAAACATGTAGATGCTTAGAGTAGATGCTCAGTAAACATGGAATGAAAGACTAAGGCAGAGCTTGTTATTGACCAAGAACTTTGCACTTGCCCAGTTCATCTCCTTTTTAACTGAAGTTGTGTCTCTAGTAGCTGCTCATCCAGCTGAAGCAGAGTGCCTCTGGGCACCCACATTACTGACACTCATGCATACAGTAGGTGTTCAAATCTGTGCTGCCTGAATTGGGATTTTGAAAGAAGGCCCCATAACTTCTGCTTCCCTTGGTGGCAGGCGATGGGAGGGAGGTGACCCTGGTGTGTCCAATCAGAAGACTCCAACCACCATCTTGCTGACTCCCGAGAGGAAGTTCCACAGCTTCGGGTATGCCGCCAGGGACTTTTACCATGACCTGGATCCCAATGAGGCCAAGCAGTGGCTGTACCTGGAGAAGTTCAAGATGAAGCTGCACACCACTGGGGTGAGCAAGCCTCTCCCCTGGGCCCAGGTCCCCCGCAATGGAGTGCCAAGCTTCCTCCAGCCTTGGGGTGGGGAAGGGATGTCCTCCCAACCCAGGGGGCCCTCTGGTCTCTTCCAAGCAGAAATCAGTGTCCATTTACCTTGATTTTAGACACAACCTGGAGCACACAGTGCTTTTGTGGAATATGCGATGCTTTCCAATGTGCATGTGGGCAGGGAGATATTCTGAATATTTAACAACTCGTTTGTCTTGGAAATGGACCTATCAGAGTAGACCCTGGTTATACCAGGGAAGTGGGGTGCTGGGGCCCTCCTGCTGTGCCAGGAGTTCTCCCTTTAGTTTCTGGATTATTGAGAGATCAGTGTATCATGAAGGATCCACTTGGGGGCTAGGGACACATGGCGAGCTCAGGGCAGTAGCTCTTAACTAACCAGTTTGGATGTAACAACCAGTAACAACTGGTACATCCAGCTCTTTATGTGGGGAGGGGGAGCTCAGGACATCAAGTGCCCAATAATTGGAGGTCCAACTCCCTGAGTGGTGTCCTCAGCTCCCAGCAAGCCAGTGTTCCATAAGACACCTACATCAAACAGGCACCCCCTGCCACCCCGAAGCTTCGTAGAAAAGGATAGGGCATAGGACAGAACTTTTTTGAGTTAAGCATTTTATTCCATAAAGTTTCCTTAACTGTCAGTGCTTAGAAAGGCAGGATGATGATGATGTTTAAGAACACGGACTCTGGGGCCAGATGGCCTGGGTTTCAATCTGGTCACTGGTACCTTTGAGAAATGTAATCCAAGTTATGTAACCCCTCCCTGCCTTGTTTTATCTTCTCTGTCAAATGGAGACAATAGCAGTGCCTTCCTCATGGGGATTTTGTAGGGATTAAAGGAATCAAAATACGTAAAGCTCTTAGAGCCATGCCTGGTGCAGATTAAGTTCTAGTCAAGTGCAAGCTCCTATTCTAATTGCTTTCATTTGTCTGCTGAGCACTTGCAGATGACAAAGCAAACATAAGTGGGAAACTCAGCAGCCAGCACCCTGCCTTTCAAGGCTCTGTGCCCATCGGCGTGGTTGTCCTTCTATGGTGCAGACCAAGTTCTGCTAGAAATGAACTGTTCCTATTTTGCCTAATGGGATTCAATGCTGAGTATCAGGATGGCAGGTGGAAGGAAGCACAGGGATTTTTTTCAATTCAGAGCCATGGTTTCCTGGCACTTGACCACCTTTCTGAGCCTGGGAGCTGCTGCCCTAAAGCTGGGGTATCTTTGTTGGGCACCAGGAGCAGAAGGCAGCTGGCTGGGAGGAGTGAGCAAGTGCAGATAGGTCAGGATGCCACAGACGGGCTCCACATGGCTAGCTTAGTAACTCAATGCCCGTTTTCACTCCCAAGGCAAAGCATAATTACCCAGCCTGGGACAATCTGGAGGCCCCAGTGATTTTTTTCCCCCTGGCAGTAATGAGTTTGTTGGTTCAGGAGACCTGGGGGCTTCCTCCTGATTTTTGCTCTCACTCCCTGCCCATCCCTACCCCACAGGGACTTTTCTCATCATTTTTTAATGATCTCCGTCCACCAGCATCTAGGCTCTGCAGAGCATCCTCTCTCTGGGACCACACTCAGCAGCTGCTTTCACTTTTGGTGGAGAGAGGAAAGCAGTGATGCTGGGCTCCTGGCGGATTAGATAGGGCAAGCCTTAAAATAGGAGCTCTTCTATTTTGGTGACTTGGTTGGCAGCGTAATGGGGAATGAAAGCTTCGTCTGTTTAGCATCGTGGATGGCAGTGGGTTGGTACGATTAGGCCTCCATCAGGGGGGATCCTGAGCGTGACCATGTGTGTTCGAATGTGGAAATTGTACGGAAATTGCATGGGGAGTGGCACCTGCTGCCTATTCTCTCTTCCTGACTTCTACTGTTGCCCCTGAAACCTTTGCTCCCAGAGGATCCAGGAGCTAGAGGGAGAGAAGGAGGGAGCAGTGAAGGTGGGGCCTGGAGGGGACAGCCAGAGCCTCCTACACAGTAAGGGGACACTGCTGCCAGCCCCCATTTTGGGGGATGCGCCATCCTAGTCTGCCTCTTTAAGCATGGGGGAACACAGACATGGCTCACCAGGATCCTCTAGGTCCCCTTGGAGCAGTCCCCAAAGCCAGGAGACATGTTTCTCCTGTGTCATCTTCTTACTATTGTTCCTCTTCCTCCTACCAGGACCTCACCATGGATACAGACCTGACGGCAGCAAATGGCAAGAAAGTCAAAGCCCTTGAAATCTTTGCTTATGCCCTGCAGTACTTTAAGGAGCAGGCGCTGAAGGTAGGACTGATAGTTGAGGCCAGCCAGCTGTGTGCTAGGCGGTGGCACCCGTGCCAGCTCCGTGTCTCGGGCTGCTGCACCTGCTGGCCAGGGTAGGAGGCACAGCCTGGAGGGAGAGTGTGGGCTTTGGAGTCAACACAACAGGATGAACCCTCACACGCTGCTGGTGGGAAAGTAAAATGGTGCGGCCTCTTTGGAAAACAGTTTGGCAATTCCTAAAAAAGTAAAGCACAGAGTTACCGTAGGACCCAGCAGCTCCACTCCTGGGTGGAGAAATGAAAGAAATCCCTAAGAGAAATGAAAGAAGAAATGAAATCCCTAAGAGAAATGAAATCCCTAAGAGAAATGAAAGAAGATGTCCACACACACGTATACATGAATGTGCATAGCAACATTATTCATAACTGTGAAAAGTAGAAACAGTCCACATGCTGTCCACACAAACACACGTATACATGAATGTGCATAGCAACATTATTCACAACGACGAAAATCGGAAAAAATCCACATGCCCATCCACTGATGAATGGAGAAACAAAATGTGATCTATCTTACAATGAATGTTATTCAGCCAGAAACAAAATGTGATCTATCTTACAATGAATGTTATTCATCAGTAGGATGAACTACTGATACATCCTACCACATGGAGAAACCTTGAAAACGCCATGTGAAGTGAAAGAAGCCAGATACAGATAGCCACATAGCATGTGATTCCAGTTCTATGAAATGTCCAGAACAGGCACCTTCACAGAAACAGAAAGCAGAGACTTTTTCTGCGCAGGGCTGCAGGGAGTGGGAATAGGAGCGACTGCTGAAGGATATGAGTTTCTTTGAGGAGTGATGAAATTAG
The DNA here is from genome assembly GCF_000001405.40 of Homo sapiens. NCBI lineage: Eukaryota > Metazoa > Chordata > Mammalia > Primates > Hominidae > Homo > Homo sapiens. The sequence goes on along the minus strand of NW_025791790.1, from coordinate 108,777 downwards.
GTAATGGGGTTGGGCGCACAACCTTGTGAATATACGAAAACCCACTGAACTACACACTTTATAACTGGGAATTTTATGGTATGGAAATTATATCTGAGTAAAACAAAAAGAGAGGCAGGAAACATACTTAGCAGCTGTGCCATTTTGGTCAAGGTACTTAATCTTTCCAAGATCCACTTTCCTAACTGGAGAGTGGGGTGGGTAACTGTACCTCATAGGCCATTTGATAGAAAATGGGACTGGACATGCAGTGCCCTCCTTGGAGCTTGGTCTATAGTAAGCACTGGGTAAATGGTGGCTGCTATTTCTCCCCCTCCTCCCCCTCCTCCTCTATCCCCCCAGACCCCATGGAAGAAGCTAATAGCGTGAGCCCCCTTGGGTCGCCCCCACAAAGGTCTGTGGTCATGGTGGCCTGAAATTCCAAAAGCATCTAATTTTGAAGTGGAATGTGGCTGTCCACTCGTGTCTCCTCCCACAGGCATGGAGACCAGTGGGTGGGGATCAGATGATTAAAGAGCACTGATGTTTTGAGCTTTATCCAAAAAGATTTGGGAACTTCAGAAGCATTTGGTATTGTGTGACCACTAAAGGAAATTTAGTGAATTCTAGAAATAGGGTCAGAGGGAGACAAAGAAGAAGTGAGAACATGGTATTACTTTCATCTATTCAAGTACCTGTTTTTTTGAGTACCTTTTATGTGTGAAATCCTATACAAGTTATGGCAGTGTAGAAATCAACTCAGTATACAGGAGTGTGTGGTCAGGGTCAGAGTGGTGAGGGGGTAACTGTGGGTGCTGGGGGAGGCAGAGATTCTGTCCATTGGGGAGCATCATGGAAGGCTCCCTGTAGGAGGTGGATTCGGGGCAGGGTGGGGTGTGGTTCACAGGCAGCAACTGGAAGGGTGGGTATTTCAAGCTGGTGGAATGGCACAGGCTCAGCTCAGAAGGAAGAAAGCAGCAGACAAACAGCTGTGGGAAGAAAGCAGTTGAGGTGGAAGGAGGGTAAGGCTGTGGGATAAAGCCAGGATGCCGTGAGCTCAGGATAAGGTAGTGCAGAGCTGCGGATGCCAAGCCAAGGAACTTTTTCTTGGTTAATGGGGAGTCCTCAAAGGATTTCTAGTGGGGGAATGAGTGACGTGGCCACCGGGATAGTAGTAGAGTGTTGTATTAGTCTGTTCTAATGCTGCTAATAAAGACGTACCTGAGATTGGGTAATTTATAAAGGAAGAGGTTTAATGGACTTACAGTTCCACATGGCTGGGGAGGCCTCACAATCATGGTGCAAGACGAAGGAAGAATAAAGGAACGTCTTACATGGTTGCAGGCAAGAGAGCTTGTGCAGGGGAACTTCCCTTTGTAAAACCATCAGATCTCGTGAGACTTATTCACTACCACGAGAACAGTATGGGGGAAACTGCCCCCATGATTCAGTTATCTCCACCTGGCCCCACCCTTGACACGTGGGGATTATTACAATTCAAGGTGAGATTTGGGTGGGGACCATACAGCCACACCATATCAAGTGTCTTAGTCTATTTTGTGCCACTGTGACGGAATATCACAAACTGGGGAATTTATGAAAAACAGAAATTTATTTCTCATAGTCTGGAGGCTGGGAAGTCCAAGATCAATGTGCTAGTGGGTTTGGTGTCTGGTGAGGACCCAGTCTCTGCTTCTAAGATGGAGCCTTCAATGCAGCATCCTCTTGCCAAGGGGATGTGGATTGAAAGAGCCCACGCACTCCTGAAACCTGCAAGCCTTTTTTTTTTTTTTTTTTTTTGAGATGGAGTCTCTCTCTGTTGCCCAGGCTGGAGTGCAGTAGTGCGATCTCGGCTCACCACAACCTCTGCCTCCCAGGTTCAAGCAATTCCCTTGCCTCAGCCTCCCAAGTAGCTGGGACTACAGGTGTGTGCCACCATGCCCAGCTAATTTTTGTTTTTTCTTTTTTCTTTGTTTTTGTTTTGAGACGGAGTCTCGCTCTGTTGCCCAGCCAGGCTGGAGTGCAGTGGCGTGATCTTGGCTCACTGCAAGCTCTGCCTCCCAGGTTCACGCCATTCTCCTGCCTCAGCCTCCCGAGTAGCTGGGACTACAGGCGCCCGCCACCATGCCTGGCTAATTTTTTGTATTTTTAGTAGAGACGGGGTTTCACCATGTTAGCCAGGATGGTCTGGATCTCCTGACCTCATGATCCGCCCGCCTCGGCCTCCCAAAGTGCTGGGATTACAGGTGTGAGCCACCGCGCCCGGCCAATTTTTGTATTTTTAGTAGAGATGGGATTTCACTATGTTGGCCAGGATGGTCTCGAACTCCTGACCTCATGATCCGCCCACCTTGGCCACTCAAAGTGCTGGGATTACAGGTGTGAGCCACCACACCTGGCCGCAAGCCCTTTTTATGGCAGCAAAAATCCGTTCCTGAGACCGGAGCTCTCATGACATAAACATCTCCCATTAGGCCCCACCTCCCACTCAACACAGTTGCACTGGGGAGTACATTTCCAACACATGAGTTTTCGGGGACACATTCAGAACACAGCATAGAGTGAGAGACCCCAGTAATCCCGAGAGCCTGCAGGGTGGAGGTCGGTGGTGTGGAGGCAGTTGACTCAGATTCTGCAGGTTTGTCTGCAGGGAGAGAGGGAGGCTCTGAGACTGAGAGCCACAGGGTCATTTGGGGAGCAAGAAGGAGGATCTGACAACCAAGAAGAAAGAGGGCCCGTGGGCTGGGAAGGAGTGGGTTCTGGGCAAACAGTATTCCACCAGTAAGGGGACAAGGGGACAGGGGAGGCCTGGCAGCAAGGTCACTGTGGGGTGGGGGTTGAGGCATGGGAGAGGGAAGGGAGGGGACTGGGTGGTGTTCGGGAAGGTGACCACAGTCAGAGACAAGCGTTGTGAAGCCTGCTTGGAACTGGAGAAGGGGTCAGCCCCTTTGTTCCAGGCGGCAAAAGGGCAGAAGGGGAGGGGCACAACGAGGTGGACCCAGGTCTGCTGGAAGAGCAAAGGTTGCAGAGGGACAGGCTCAGCGCCTGGTGGCCCAGGAGGCCACGTGAGGATGTGTCTGTGGGCACCGAGGCAGGTGAAGGAGCAGAGAGTGCAGAGCGCACAGGGGCTCCTGAGTTAGGAGGAGGAGCCGTAGGGGCTCGGGGGCAAAATTTAGGACTCAGAAAGCCCAGGATGTTGGTGCGTTTCAAATTTGCCAACAGGAAAGGAGTGAGCAGCCCATCTCAGAAGGGGAGGGAGGAGGTGGAGGGAACGGCCCCAGAAGGTCAAGTGGCCATGTGGGTGGTTGTTTGTGAATTCCTCAGCTCAGCCAGAGAGACTCCAGGGAACTTGCTGGCACCTTTCTTTCAAAGGTAGCTCCTCCCAGCAGGGAATATGCCGTGAATAAATTCCAGGAGAAAAAGCTGTTTGATGTATAGGAGGAGCTAGACCTTGCCAGGGGCTGGCTGGAGTTGGAGGGAGGGGGTTATGGCTTGCTTGGCTGGAATAAGCAAAGGCAGGATACCTACTCAAGTGGGACGTCCAAGAGTCACAGAAATGAAGCCACCCAGTGGGTCATGAAGGAAAGCCCGTGACAGTGCCTGACACATGAGATGGTCAATTAATTAATGCTGGCGCCTTTCCCTTCCAAGCTGTTCCCTACCCGCTGGGGAACTGACAGCTCCTCTAAACTCTCCAGACAGCTCAAGGAAGCCCCTCATGTGTATTTTGAACCCTTTTCCTTTTAAAGAGTTTAAAATCACCTGCCTGGTAATGGGTGCCATGCTTAGAATCTTCCCAACACACATCATACCCTCACCTGCTTTTTCAAACCCAATGCAGACCTGCAAGGAAACAAAATATGATGATAAAAAAATGGCTGCTTTGTGTTGGTCCACAGCAGAGATGTTTTTAGAAAGATGTTTTAAAATAGTTTACTGAATGTACTTAACTGTGCACTTAAAAATGGTTAAGGTGATGAATTTTAGGGTGTGTACATTTTTACCATGAAACATTTTTATTAAAAATTTTTAGAAAAAGGCAAAAAAAAATCATTTGCTGATCAAAGAGGAAGTTAGTTCAGAGAGAGAGAGGGTGGGCCAGACCCAAGATAACTGTTTGAAACAATAGGAAAAATGAGACAGTGTCAGCAATTTTGTTTGTTTGTTTTTTCATCAGTCTATTAATCTTTCTTGTCTCTCCAGAGCTGATTTAGACACAGAAGTGCCTTGGTGTGTGTTTCGGTTTGATTACAGATTTGTCTGGTGAACGTGGCAAGGGGAAGAGAAAGGAAGGAAAGAACTGGCATTTATCAGAGGTCTTTGGGCCAGCATTCCCTCATGTGTTTTCATTTAATCTCGCCAGCAATGCTGTGAGTTAGTTTTATGATCTCCATTGCGCAGATGGGAATACTGAGTCTAAGAAGTCCTCCAGCGACATATTTTGTCCCCGTGAACCAGGTGGAAACCTCTGATGCTTCTGCCCAGCCCCTTTATCAACATGGGCCTCAGTGATGTCGTTTAACCTTAACCAAAAGTTAAGGGCCGCATGGTTCTTGATGAGGTCATATCATTCATAGCCTTCCCTTCCTGTTGGGAAAATGCCCCTGATAATGCTGGCCTTGCATAAGGTAGATGACAATGATGACAGCTGCCACCGGCTGGTAAGCATCACTGTGGGCCAGGCACTGTTTACCTATGGGACCACGTGTAACAACTCAGACCTTTGCTGAGTCAAGATAGACTAGGCTTTGGGTCTAAATTTTGGCTCTGCTACTTTCTAACTGCACAGTGGTCAAAAAGGTACTGAGCATATCAAAGTCTCAGTATTCCCATTTGTAGGAAAGGGGCGCAGTGAGACTCCCTTCCTAACAGGATTCTTGACTGGATGAATAGAGACAAGGTATGCAAAGTGCTTAATAAGGTGGCAGATACGTGATAAGCACTCAGTAAATGTAGCTCTCCATAAATCATCAATCCTCTCAACAATCGTTGGAGCTTGGCATTATAATCCCCACTGCACAGATATGGAAACTGAGGCCTAAGAGGTTGTCAGTTGTCCAAAGTCACATGATTAGGAAGTGGCCAAAGGGATTTCCTCTGATCCTCCTTTCTCCAGCCCACGGTCCCATTCAGTGAGGGAAAGGGGCTAGAGCTCCCGGCTTGCAGAATATTCAGGAAACAGATCTTTGCTCTCTGATGCTGGTAAGTTTGGGGGACCCTGAAACTGGCTCCTGAAGAGCTCATGGCAGGAAGCCTGGGTTCAGTGAAGCCACAGGAGGCTGCTCCAGGAACCAGCTGCCACTTGACCTGTTGCATTTCTTTCCCTTGGCTTCAGGAGCTGAGTGACCAGGCGGGTTCGGAGTTCGAGAACTCTGATGTCAGATGGGTCATCACGGTGCCTGCCATCTGGAAGCAGCCGGCCAAGCAGTTCATGAGACAAGCTGCCTACCAGGTGAGGGTAGAGTCAGGGCGGGTGGAAGCCGGAGGAGAAGGACTCAAGATGTCCAGGGTGGTGACTGTAGCCCCGCCCAGGTACCTCCCACATTCACTGGCCTCCATGGGAGGCAGCAAGGAGGCTCCCCTAGCCAGGGTGGGAGCTGGGAGACAAGGAGCCATCCCTTTCCTCAGCTTCCTCCTGGGGGAGCCATGGGGGTCAGTCCCACAACAAGAGCTGGGTTCGGTTTCCTTCCTGGCTTTCTACATTTCCAGGTCATGTTTCTACTGCGGAGTCTCCAGGGCTAGGATTTCAAAGCTGTGGTTCAGAGACATTTCTCTGTGGGTGAAATGAAGTGAGAACCTTAAGGGAAAGGCTTGGGAAACAGGAATATTTGAACAAGAAAGCAAGCAAGCCAAGGCCATTGGCCACGAACCAGGCATTTTCAGCTTGGTGTGGAGGCTGAAAACTGCATGTCTGCCGCAGAAAAGAAGGGAAGTGTGATTGTTCCCTGCACACTTCACTCAGCGGGGGGGTGTTGGAGGTGGCAGACCCCTGCAGAGGGCAGTGGCATGGCCAAGGGGCATACCAGGCACAGGCGCTTGTTGGCCAGGGAGACAGATGCTCCAGTGCCAGTGGCCAGCCCATCCCTGTGGGCACTAGGGGCGGCTGCTGTGAGGATCTGGCTTCCAGGCAGGAATGGCGAGCCATGCTCACCTGTTGTTATGGTCCCAGGGACAGGACAGAGCTGGCTCCTGTTGCACTTAAGCCCCTGGGCGTATGAACACCCACGCCTGGGGCCTGGGTCAGCTCTCTGTGTATTGAGAGTCAGTTTTGTGAGTCTTCAGCTGAGGCTGGGTTGTGTGGCAAGTCACCAGAGTCATTAGATGTCCCCTCCCCACTGTCATGACTCTCAGGAAGCATCCTGCCCACCTTTCCCAGGAGACGTACCTCTGATTTTGTTTGTGACACTTTCTTTACAAAAAACCCACAGAGTCAACCCTGAGCCCCAGCATAGTTGAATGGCCATGGGAACCTCAGCACCATGAATTGTTTTCAGCGCTCACTCGGAAGGCTTGACTCCAAGTAGCACACAGTTCAACTTGCGTGCAGTCAAGGGCGAGTCGTCTCCTCCCTGCACTCTCTCCCCTTCCCCAGGCTGCTTCCCCTGCACTCCCCTGCCTCCTTGCAGTGTGAGAATCTGGCTCAGTGTATGTACCTGCCAAAAATAGATCTGTTTTTATAGGGATGAAGGAAGAGGGTGGAAGCTCCAGAAAGAGGCAAGCTCTTTAAAAAGAGAATTACAAAATGCAGTTTAGCCATTCACAGAAGCCCTGGGCATCACGGAGCACAAGCTCCATAGTGTCAGCCTTCCGGCAGGGCCCAGAAATGGGGCATCGGGACACAGCTGTCTGCAGAGACGCCACCTGGCGTTCTGAGTTTTTCCCAGGAAGAATATTCAAGATTCATGGTTTTGACTCTTTTCCCAGCCCCACAGGAAGACTTCAGCAACAAATGTGTGACCCACGAAAAGGTCAATTCTTATTTATAGCCTGAAAAAAAAAAAGAGAGGTGCAGTGGCTGGTGAATCTGTCAGGGGAGTTTGAGCCCTGGGCTGGCTCTTCTAGGAGGTGGGACAAGAGGTGTGGGGCCCTCACACTGGGGAGTCACAGTGGAGGGCACCAAATCCCTGGGGGTTGTTGGAATCAAATAGGTACCCCAGAGAGAAAAAGGCCTGCAGCTCTTGGGTGAGGACAGATGTGAGCTGTGTTTATGAATGTGGGGAATTTGCTTTCGGAAGTCCAGAGACATGCTGTTTCCTCGATGCTGGCTAACTTTGGTACAGTGTTTTTGCAGCTTCGTTTTTGATCCTTTGCAGTTCTGATTTGATACTTGCTTTGTTCCATTGACAGCCGCTGAGTGGATTTAAAGAGGGCGGCGATCATTCAATTGCTTTTTTTGTTCATGCATTTATTTATTCATTAAACAAACCTAAACTAGAGGCCTATCTCTCTGTCAGGACCGTGGTAGGCACTGGATTCTATACCCAACCAAGGCAGGGATCTGGCCCCTGGGTTGCTCCCAGCCAAATGGTTCACTGAAGCCTTGCATACTTTTGGGTTAGGGAGAGGGGTGTATTGGGAGGCACAGTTGCTCTGCAGACTTTGCTGTAGTCTCTTTAGCCTGTCTTCTGGAGAGTCTTAGGACAAAGTGGAAGTGAAATTTGCAACTCTATGAGCAAAATTAACATCTTTCTACTCTCTCTCCATCCCCCATTATTATACAGAATAAGAAAGATATGTACCTGTGATGATTAATTTTATATGTCAACTTGACTAGGCCACAGGATGCCAGATATTTAGTCAGTCATTATCCTGAGTGTTCCTGTGATAAAGTTCAACATTTAAATCAATAAACTGAGCAAAGCAATGGCCCTCCTTGAGGAAGGTGGGCCTCATCTAATCAGTTGAAGGCCTGAATAGAGCAAAACGCTGACCCTCCCGAGTAAGCGGGAGTTCCTCCTGCATGACTGCCTTTGAGCTGGGTCATTGTTTTTTTTTTTTTTTTTCCCCTGCCTTTGGACTCAAACTTAAACATTGACTGTCCCAGGGTCTCGAGCCTGCCAACCTGTACCGTGGGTTCTCCTGGGTCTCCAGCTTGCTGGCTGCAGATCTTGGAACTTCTCAGCCTCTATAACTGCATAAGCCAAATCCTTATAATTATCTATCTGTCTGTCTGTCTGTCTGTCTGTCTGTGTGTCTGTATGCCCTACTGCTTCTGTTTCTCTGGAGAACCCTGACTAATACAGTGTCTGAGCACAGAACATAGTTCTCAGCCTAGCAGCTTCTGCGAGTGCTCACCAGGCACCCATGTATGTGAAAGGTATTAAATCAGGTGGTCATCTGTCTCCTTCTGCAAGGCGGTGGCTGCCCACTGACCCTTCTACCCAAAGTGCATCCCATCCCATGGGCCCAACTTCAGGCAGGAGAGCTGGAAGGATGAGGTAGAGTGGCTACTCCAGTAGGACAGTTGGAGAACTGGTCACGTCTACTCTGCTTGTGTGGGGAAAATGGAGCCCCTCCTTTCAGGCTTATCAAAGGCCTCCTGAGCACAGGTTTCTGGGCAGTGGTGGGGGCTGAACTTGAACCTCCCACCTGCCAGGTGGAGGAGAAAGCAGCCTGGAAGCAGAGCTGGGAGATGATGTTGTGAGGAGCAGGTCTGGAGTTCTGGAGCCTCTGCTGGGGCAGGCTATGGCTCACTGCCCGTAAAGGCTGCAGAGAGGGTGCACAGATGCAGTTTCATCGGTGAAACTCCAGAAACTCGCCTTGAGTTGAGTGCTTGTTGAAAAGATGGGTTAAACCTTTATCTTTTGTAATTCACAGACTCAAGCCATCTTTAGACCCTTTAAGAGCATTCAGTGAAAAGATGATAACAGAAAGAACAGCTGATCCCTCTTCTGAGGCCTTTAGAAAAGACTTAGAACTGGAGACTGTTCTGAAGCTGTGGGGATTGTGGATAGGAAATAGTCCAGTTTATATCAAAGGGCATTTTGCCTAAAATGTGTAACTCTAGTAGGCTCCGGAAACGTGTTAAATAAATGCTGCTCCCATATGTATGATCCTCTCATCTAACATGGAGACGCAGCTTCTTCTGCCTCCCTTTCTGAACAAGCTGCAGTGAGAAATGATCATCAGGAAAACAAAACAGCATAACACCCCGAACTGGTGCAGCTGTAGCCTTTCTGTAGCCTGACCGCAGACCAGCAGCGCTCTTAACTGATCTGGCTATTTTTTCTCAGCTGTGGACACAGTCCCTTGGCAGATTCTCCTGGCTGACTGCAAGGCAGAGGAGCAGAGTAGTTGGTGTAAACACCACCTCCTCAGCTTCTCAGTCTCCCTGGAGTGTGGTTTTCTCACCTGCTTCTCCTGAGTGAAACTCGTGATCACAGAGGAAGGCTCTAAAAAGCTACTACGATGTCGCTCCTGCTGCCCCGAATTCTTGGAGGAGGCAAATGGGGAAGCATGCTCTTGGTTCAGATACTTCCTGTATGTAGAATCCCCAGGTCATGTCTGTGGAATGCAGGGATGAGGGCCAGGAAACTGCAGGAAAAAAGGCTGGCTGGAGGGCTGGTGGGTCCATTCGTTCAGCAGCTACCTCCTGAACACCTACTGTGTGCTTTGGGGCAAGAAGAACTGAGCGTTGCTGTTAGAAAATCCACCATCCTGCAGGAGAGGCTACACATGTCTGCACCGTTAATAACAGGGGTGTCCAATCTTTTGGCTTCCGTGGGCCACATTGGAAGAAGAAGGATTGTCCTGGGTCACACATTAAATACACTAACACTAATGATAGCTGATGAGCTAAAAAAAAAATCGCAAAAAAAAACTCATCATGTTTTAAGAAAGTTTACAAATTTGTGTTGGGCTGCATCCAAAGTCGTCCTGGGCCACAATGTGGCCTGTGGGCCATGGGTTGGACAAGCTTGGCGTATAGGACTGGAGACGGAATATGTTAAGTGCTTGGCAGGGGCCCCAGTGGAGGGAGGGCTCACGTGGGAGTAGTAACCATGAGGCACCTTCTCTGAAGGCAGAATTAGCAAAGACGGAGAGTGTTCTGTGGTTGCAGTTGACCCTGGCCTGATCCCAGGCAAACAGACCCATAGGTTTGCTGAGGGCTGCCAAGTGGAGGGCTTCTGTTGAGGGTGGCTGCAAGTGTTAATGCAGAAACAAAGCTTGCACTTGAAAGCATTGAGTCCTCCTGCCCAGAGAGAAAGACAGCTGGGTTTTTGAGAGCCTGGGCGATACTTTAGCATTTCCTCCTTTTCTCGGAGTCCACAGCAGTTCTGGGACTCCTGGGGAGGTTGAATTTGTGCAGAGTCCGCTGCCTCTTCTCACCTCTCCTCAGCTCTCTACTGTGGCTTCCATGGGAGTTTGCAGGTAGGACACGGCCCCTCACTGGACAGGAGCTGGTTCAAGCAAAGAAGTGTGGTTACTTTGTCCGAGGCCTCCCAGACACTGCCTGGGCCCATGACCTTGCCTTTTCCTCTGCTCAGGAGTGGGGTCCTCTTCACCTTCGCTTCCCACCTGCATCCTCATCTTGGTACAGTGGGGAACCCCCTATGGAAACAGGCCAAAGCTTTTGCTGTGGAGCTGAGGCCAGCCCAGCTGGAGAGGGACAGATGAAAGGTCTCCCCTGAGTGGCCAGCCCAAGCTGTTTTCCACAGACTTGGGGCAGCCTCAGTGTCTTCAGGATGTGAGAGTGTCCTGGGCGGGGGACAGTTCTGCTGGATTTTCAGTTGCACACCAGGCACACTCGGATGCCCTCGAGTTGTAGAATTTTACCCAGGGCTCTTCACCCCTCTAGACTGCTGGATCTGAATTTCCATATAAAGATTTCCCATCTAAGTCAGAGTTCCTGCTCAGAATTTCAGGGGTAGTGTGGGTAGAGAGATGGGGGCAGAGCTTACAGTGTGGGAAGAGGGATGAGGGGCGGAGCTTATGGTGTGGGAAGAGGGATGAGGGGTGGAGCTTATGGTTTGGGAAGGGGTGGGGGTGGAGCTTATGGTGTGGGAAGAGGGATGAGGGGTGGAACTTATGGTGTGGGAAGAGGGATGAGGAGTGGGACTTACAGTGTGGGAAGAGGGGACAAGGGGCGGAGCTTATGCCACCCTTTCTCCCTTCCCATCCCTGTCCCTGCTGCCGTGGCCCAGGCCCACCTTGCTTTTTCTGGCCCTGTGGGGGCCTCACTGCCACAAGTCCCACCTGGCAGGCTGACATCCCAGTGGGACATGGTAACCGTAATGTAGCGTCTGGGTCTTTGCCTTTCTTCCTTCACACCAACTCCTTGGGCTCCACTCATGGGTCTACTGCCATCCCCAGTTTATTTTCAAGTTTGAACTTTGGAGGAGAATTGTATACATACAGGCCTGGCAGTTTCTTTGCAGCAAGTTGTCCCTTCTTCCTCACCCCGTTTTGTGGAAGCTTCCCCCTTGGACCTTCTATGCTCCTGGGAGGTCCTTGACTCCACAACCTCAAGGATGGAAGAATCAGCACAGGAGCTGTCCCTCGGAAGGGGCCCCTCTTGGTCTTATTTGGGATTTCTTCCTCCCGACCCCTTGGGATCCAGGCTCAGAGGTTTCACCTTTCCCGAGGGCACCATACGTGTGAGAGCCACATCCTCTTTCACTTTAACCTCCAGCCATGTTTGTGCTAAGGATGTCTAATGTGACCCTGTGAGAGTGAAGCTGGGGAGGGGGGACTTTTACTTGCTTGAATAGGGGGCAGTGGGAAATCCTGTCATGCACCTGAGTCAGGGCCCTGTTGACCGATGTCACCTAAGGGCAGACCCAGCTTCTCTGACCCATGGGCTGAGCTGACAGGCATTGATGCTGCCCGGGTGGTTGGCCGTAGCTGAGGGTACTAGGTGATGGGAAGAGGGTTCGCCACGGACAGTGCAGGACACGAGAGTGGTGGTTCTTATCTGGTTTTATAAAGTCAGCCTTCCAGATGTGGTTCTGCCATTTTGAGGCATTTGGTATTTACAGAGTGAAGATGTTCAGTCACCTGCCTGCTGGTAGTATCAGTTTTAGCACTGAAAGTCTCACATCCCAGGAAATCTCTCTATCCTGAGCAAACTGGGACAGTGGGCCACCCTCCCTCTCTTTCTACATAAAGTGAAGGAGTTGATAAATAGCTCTGAAGGTCCTTTGCATTCTTTTTTTTTTTTTTTTCTTGAGATGGAGTTTCACTCTTGTCACCCAGGCTGGGGTACAATGGCACCATCTCGGCTCACTGCAACCTCCACCTCCCAAGTTCAAGCATTTCTCCTGCCTCAGCCTCCCGAGTAGCTGGGATTACAGGCACTGCCCCCACCATGCCCAGCTATTTTTTTTTTTTAGTAGAGACGGGGTTTCACCATCTTGGCCAGGCTGGTCTCGAACTCCAGACCTCAGGTGATCTGCCCGCCTCAGCCTCCCAAAGTGCTGGGATTATAGGTGTGAGCCACCACGCCTGGCCACTTTGCATTCTTAATACCTGAAAATCCCCTTCCCTCCTTGCCCAGTAATTGGACCTCCCAAGCCCCTCTGCCCATGATGAGGCCGACTTCGCCTGATGAGAAGTTATTTGTGAGTGTGTGACATTAGGAGACCTTCTGAACCTGGTCTGCAAGAAGAATGCACTAAACCCCAGGGGTCTGATACAGAACTTGAGGCCTTCCTCCCAGTAGGCATGGTATGAAGGCAGCATCCCAAGGTTCCTAAGAAATGGCAAAAAGTCAGCACCACGGCAGTGGCAGGGATGAAGTGTTCTTCCGTGGTCCATCGGGCTGGCAACTGAGGACACCCGTGTACCTGAATGGTTTCCAGAAGCAAGTGGGGCCTCCCGCTGCAGCTCAAGGCCATGAGAGGTGCCAGGGACCTGGTTAGAGGCCCAGCCATGCTGTTTCTCTGAGCATCCTCAGAAGGGTTGTCCCAGGGCCTCTTGAGCTGGCCCTTCTGAAGGCCCACAGGAGTGGTGACTGGGACTGGTCAGATGTCACAGAGCAGAAGCACTTCTGCCTACTACAGGCCAAGGCCCCAAATGTTTGCAGATGGAAGCCACAGATGAGAACTTGGGGATCAGATTGTTAAAGGAATATTTATTACTATATGTGATATATGTCTATAATAAAACTATTAAAGGGTGGAGGCTTTGAATAAGATATCTTCTTGCTGACTCAACCGCACTCTAGAAAATGAGGGACTATATGGGATTCCAGGAGGGGCTTCCTCCTGGAGCCACTGCTTATCTGTCACCCCCAGTAGGCAAATCTCAGGAACCCTCCTAGCGCTCTGGAGATAACAGGTCGGTTACCCAGATAGCAAAGTCAAATGCTTGTGTTGCTGAGGCCCAGCCATGGTCTGTTTCCAAGGCCACCAAAGATAGGGGTTTGCTCCGATTTGGTCAGACCGTGTGGTATATTACAACTGAGAACAGATCACCTGCCTTCCACCCTGTGATGGTTTGGAAAGTTTCAGGGTCTCTGCAACTCCATGCCTTCACCACTGGAGCATGGAAGCCCGTGTGCCTCCTGCAGTCCGGAATCCCCCCGCTCCTCCCCATGGTGCTGCTCAGCTCTGAGCCAAGGAGGCCCCAAGTGCAAGAGGCCCCACAGCCAGAGCACCTGGTGTTTTCCCCAGGGTGCCTATACATTTTCTTTGGCCACCCTGGGGTGTTTGGGTATCTGGCTTGGGGCCCAGTACCGAGGCACCCTGACATTATGCTCTGCAGAGGACTGTGTAGAGAATGTCCCACAGATGCAGAGCACGAGTGCGCCCTCCTTAGGGATGTCAGTCCAGGCACGGGTGTCCTAGGAGCAGGCCGGCCCAGGGGGCCCTGGGTCCCAGCCTCTGTTTCTGTCTTCCAGGCAGGCCTGGCCTCCCCCGAGAACTCGGAGCAGCTCATCATTGCCTTGGAGCCTGAGGCAGCCTCTATCTACTGCCGAAAGCTGCGGCTACACCAGATGATTGAGCTGAGCAGCAAGGCAGCCGTCAATGGGTACAGCGGCAGTGACACAGTAGGAGCTGGGTTTACACAGGGTACCTCTGCTCTCTCTCTCCCCCTCCTGCTCTCCTTCCTTCCCAAGCCCTGGATGTCTCTCTCCCTCTGATGATTTTAAAGGCACTTAGTGCCATAATGAAGAATCAGGATACTCCGGGAGGAGGTGGGCTTTAAGCACCTCTCTGCTCAGCCCCCCTACCTGGCCCCTCCAAGGACCCCCATAAATGGAGGCATGGTTACCCTGGTTCATCACCCACCAAGTGTCTGGGGGCGGGGAGCTTCTCTCTAAGAATCTGAGGGTAGCCTGAGAGCGGTTATTGGCCTCACATTGTACTAGGCTCTTAATCTTTCTTGTGTATTAACAGATTCTTAATCTAATTCCATTGCCTGTTATTAATTCTCCATTAAGACTGTTGATTTATTGCTGAGTCACTCATTGGGTCTGCTTCATGTGCGATGAGTTTAAAATGCAGATGAAACCGGCTGACTTTTCCTGACCTAGGTGACGCTCGCTTAGCTGTGGGAAGGAGCACCGCCTTAGGGAGACTGAGGATGGCGATTTTAAAAAGCTTTTCCTCTTTAATAATTACCTGAATGCAAGTAGGTCATAGCCTTGGTCACAGAACTTGGTTCCCTGGTATCCAGGGCTCTGTGGGTGTGTCGAGGGCTATAGGGTTTGCAGACACGCCCTGTCAGGGTCAAGGCACCAATATGAGCGCTAAGTGAGAGCACTATGGGGGTGGCGCCGGGCACTGTTGTTAAATCTCAAAGGCACGAGGGCCTAAGGTCTAAGGGTTAATTTCAGGCTGCAAGAAAAGAATTGTGGGGCCGGGCGTGGTGGCTTACACCTGTAATCCCAGCACTTTGGGAGGCCGAGGCAGGCGGATCACGAGGTCAGGAAATCCAGACCACGGTGAAACCCCGTCTCTACTAAAAATACAAAAAAAAAAAAAAAAAAAAATTAGCCGGGCGAGGTGGCGGGTGCCTGTAGTCCCAGCTACTTGGGAGGCTGAGGCAGGAGAATGGCGTGAACCCGGGAGGCGGAGCTTGCAGTGAGCCGAGATCGCACCACTGCACTCCAGCCTGGGAGACAGAGCGAGACTCCGTCTCAAAGAAAAAAAAATTGTGGGAACTGCAAGCCCCTTAACCTTTCCTGACCTGATTTCCTTCTCCGAACATAGGGACAATGATTTGTGCCCTCTCATAGCCACATAGGCGTCTCCGCCACTCAGCACCTCAAGCCACAGCAGGAGCGGAGGTTGTCCCTGTGTTCATGGAAAAGGCAGCACAGGGGTTTGCCAGGCCCAGACGCGCCACCTTGTGGCCGCAATGCATATTGGCTTCAGCTGGGTCAGGAAATGGCCCCCCCCCCCAGTCTATTTACCCAGGGTGCATGTTAGGAAAACACACCCCAAATTCCTTGTATCAGACAAAATTCCTTGATTTGGAATTGTTTAACTGAGCGCACTGCAGGCTGTTTGGCAGATAGCTTCCTCCCTGGGGCAGCAAAGCCGGGAAACTAGGCGATTTCATTAACCCATTCTCCAAAAAATGTGACCAGGGTAGGTCTCATTTGAGAGTCTCGCTCTGTCACCCAAGTTGGAGTGCAGTGGCGCACATTTGACCACATTCTCTTCTTTCAGTTTTTTTCACGTGGAAAATGGGGATAATAATTCCACCTAATTCCAAGGGTTGTTGTGAGAATCTCATCAGGGTGGGCTTTTCAGCTGGGCACAGGCTAAGCCGAGGAATAGAGGAAGGCCGGTGGAAATCACTTTCTCTGGGAAGAGCTGGCTTTGTGATTCCCGACATCGTATTGACTTATTTTGGTCAAATGTCACTAATGTTCCATCCCTAAATCTCCTCATGCTATTGCCTTCACTGACTGCAAATGATCTCTGCTTTTTCATGCTTTCTTACCCGTCATCATTTTCTTTCTGTCGGCCACTAGCTAAGGAACACATACGGCGTAATCGGCAGAGTCGGACCTTTTTGGTGGAGAATGTCATAGGAGAAATCTGGTCCGAGCTGGAGGAAGGTAGCGTCCTTCAATGTCCTTTGCTCTTGCTGGATTTTCCTGTGCTGCTCGTGAAAAGCCATTCCCATTTGTCCCTTTTGCACTTTTGGAAAATGTTCAAACTCAGTGGGTTCTAAAGACCACTCATGCAGGGAGAGCTCTTTTGGGAGCTGTAATTTTGCATGTTGTAAAACCAGGTAGGGATTGGAATTGATCAGTTCCAGAGTAAGTCTTTGGTGAAACGCAGATGATTTTAGGGCACTCACTATTCACGTGGCAGGAAACTGCCCACTAAGTACGTGCCAGGTATGCAGCAATGTGTGAATCTTAGATTCACTCACCTGGGTTCTCCATCGTCCATGTCTAACCATCCTCCTGGGCAGATTGCATTCTCTTTGGTCATGGTTAACTCCTAGAGCTGCTAATTAGCAAAACCATTGTGCTAATGAGAAGTTTTGAGGGCACTTAGCTGGGTCTACCTAGTTACCACCCACAAGCTTGTTTCAGATGGGGTTGGCAAACAGTCTGTGTAAAAGATGGCTGTTTTTGTGCCAGGTGATAAGTATGTGGTTGTGGACAGTGGCGGTGGCACCGTAGACCTGACAGTCCATCAGATCCGGTTACCGGAGGGACACCTTAAGGAACTGTATAAAGCAACAGGTGAGGCCCTGCAGGGCTAATTTTCTTATTCCTGAGCCAATTCCAGGCAGTTCTGTTTTCACTTGTTTCAGATAACTCTCAGTTTTATTCTCTTGAATGCCACTAACATGTGGGATCGTAGGCGGTGGAGGATACTAATGTCTGCTTGAAATTGGAAAGCAAAATGCAATTAAACATTCTTTAAAACACAAACCACCACAACTTGGGTTTTGGCCTAAAGCGAGCCTGTTTCAGATCCTGGCCAAGGGCGCTGGTTTCTGAAAATTCCGAAAGGATGAGATTGCAACTTGATGTTGCCCATGACCGTGCTAAGGTGAACTTTCTAGGGAGGCCTCACCTTGTCTTGGATCAAGATTGCCAAACCATTGGCCAAGTGCGGTGGCTCACGCCTGTAATCCCAGCACTTTGGGAGGCCAAGCAGGCAGATCACTTGAGGTCAGGAGTTGGAGACCAGCATGGCCAACATGATGAAACCCTGTCTCTACTAAAAATACAAAAATTAGCTGGGCGTGGTGGTGCACACCTGTAGCCCCAGCTACTCAGGTGGCTGAGGCAGGAGAATTGCTTGAACCCAGGAGGCAGAGGTTGCAGTGAGCAGACATTGCGCCACTGCACTCCAACTTGGGTGACAGAGCGAGACTCTCAAAAAAAGATTGCTAAACCAAAGAACATGCTGTTTCCCTTTTGGGAGGTTGGAGGGGAAAGGATAATAAGTAATTAGAGGATCACACAGGGACTAGACCAGGCCTGCTGATTTTCCAGCCCCCGCCCTTGGATGTCTTGGATTGGAATACCATAATGGTCCTAGTTAGATAAAATTATTGATTTTTTAAAAAATGTAATTGATTTAAAATAGATTGTTGGCTGGGAGTGGTGGCTCATGCCTGTAATCCCAGAACTTTGAGAGGCCAAGGCAGGTGGATCACCTGAGGTCAGGAGTTTGAGACCAGCCTGGCCAACATGGCAAAATCCCATCTCTACTAAAAATACAAAAATTAGCCGGGCATGGTGGTGCGTGCCTGTATCTCAGCTACTCGGGAGGCTGAAGCAGGAGAATCACTTCAACCCAGGAGGCGGAGATTGCAGTGAGCCAAGATTGTGCCACTGCACTCCAGCCTGGGCAACAAGGGTGAAAACTTTGTCTCAAAAAAAAGAAAACACAAAAATAAAATAATAAAGTAAAGATTGTTGACAAGAGATTTCTGTAGGGAAAAGCTTCTCCACATGGAATGAGAAGCAGCGCAGGGTTCTGAAGTGTAAGTAAACACTTATAGCTGCCGTCCCATTGCTAAGTGGCTCAGAGATGAACAGGTGGGCCTGTTTCTCAGAGTCTGGATTGGGTTTCTAATGGTTTTTAACACCATGGCCTCCCTTTTTGTTCTCAATTCAGGCGGACCCTATGGATCTTTAGGAGTAGATTATGAGTTCGAAAAACTTCTGTATAAAATATTTGGAGAGGATTTTATTGAACAATTCAAAATCAAACGCCCTGCAGCCTGGGTTGACTTAATGATTGCGTTTGAGTCTCGCAAAAGGGCGGCTGCCCCAGACAGAACTAACCCGCTGAACATCACCCTGCCCTTCTCCTTCATTGACTACTACAAGAAGTTCCGCGGGCACAGTGTGGAGCACGCCTTGCGGAAAAGCAAGTGAGTTGGGCTCATCACCTCGGGCTCTGGACATTCTAGCGGGTGGATCGTGCTGATGGGAGAGAGGAGCGAAGTGTGGACTTCGGGTTCCAATCCTACACACTTGCTGTATGACCTTGGGCAAGGGACTCAACTTCTCTTCCCTCAGTTTTTTTCACATGGAAAATGGGGATAATAATTCTATGTAACTCCAAGGGTTGTTGTGAGAATGCAATGAATTCATACATGTTGGGTGCTTAGAACAATGCCTGGGACCTGGCAAGTATTATCTATGTGTTTGCTAAAAACAGAGGAACTATGAAAGCAGCGAAGTTTAGTTTTGGCCCCTGCCATATCCCCAGTGTCTAGAAGAGAACCTGGTATGCAGTAGGTGCTCAATAAATATTTGTGGAATTAATCCAATGGGAATGTAGGTTTCTTGCCACTCTGAGTCCCTTGACTGATTTTGTGTCTCAGCTTGTTGCAAAATGAATATATTTAGAAGACGGTTTAAAGCCGAATTTAAAAAAAAAGATAAAAATAATAGATTTCTAATATTCTTAAACATTTTAAATTTATATATATAATATCCATCATGAAATGATGACTACAGACAGATTTACCTATCTATCATATTTCATAATTACCTTTTTCTAATAATCCTTTTGTAAGGGAACATGTCAAACATTTATCCTGTAAAATACCCCATTGTCCAGCTTCAACAACTGTCAGGTCCTGGCTAGTCTAAATCCAATTATTTTAAAGCAAATCTTAGAAATTAGCATCTCATCTATTTCAGTATGTACCTCTAAAGGAGACAAGTTTTAAATCACAACCACAATACCACGATAACACTTAACAATTAATAATTCCTCAATATTATCAAGTATCTAATTAACATTAACATTTTTCCATTTGTCTTTTTTTTTTTTTTTTTCACTTTGTACCAACATCCAAATGAGGGCTCTACATAGCAGCTATCTGATACGCCCCTCGAGTCCCACTAATGTACAGGTTCCCCTCCTGGTTTTTCCTTCACAATTTATTAGATGGCAAAACTAGTAGTTTGTCCTTAGATTGGAGTTTCCTATCATCTGGGCTTTGCTCATCTCACGTCCGTGGTGTTACACAGCAGGTTCTATCCCATAGCCTTTTTTTTTTTTTTTTTTTTTTTTGCAAGTTGGCAGATGGACTTAGAGGTTTAATCAGATTCAAGTTTGAATCTTTGGCATATCTGCCTTACGGGTGGTGGTTCCTCCTACTGCATCCCATCAGGGGACACGAAATGTCTGCCTGTCTCTCCTTTTGTGATATTAGCAGCCATTGATGATTATTGCCTGGTCCACTAATGCATTAGGGGTGGCTCCATGGCCACCATCTTGGTCCATCACTCCTTCCTCATTTATTTAGCTAGAATACTCCTAGAGAGAGAAACTTGGCTCCTCAGTGGTTTGGTTGCCCTGAACTACAGCTCACTTAGGGAAGACAGGATAAATAGGTTGGGTTTCAACCTCCATTTATGAGTTAAAAAAAAAAAAAGAATCAATTTCCTAGTATCCGCCAAAGTAGCTAATGAATTTTTCCTTTTGTGAGGGCATGAGGGGGAGTATCATTAGGAATTTGAGGATTTAAGCATATTTGATGTATTTTAAACAATGGCAATTCTATCCTTATTGACACCCACACTGTCCCATCTCGGCCAGTAGGAGCCTTCTCACGTTGGCTCTGAATCCCTTTGACATGACATTTGTGGTGGTTGACAGTGTCTTTGCCTCCTTGTATGTGAAGACACTCTTGGCTCATCTTGTACATTCCCTACCCCAGGCCTGGAATTGGCCATTTCCCTAAGAAGCCCTGGTTCCTTTTAGTGGAAGTGAAAGCAGATTTCATGTCAGGTCTTCTTGCCCTTGGAGCAGGGCCAGTCTGGACCCTCTTACTGGGCTGATGTTCTCTGCCCCGTTAGTCCCCCACAGAGGGCACCTGTCCTCTGTTTGGAATCCCAAGACCTACCTGCACAGTTCTGGGGCCTGTCAACCCTCCCACTAAGAAACAGGCTGCAGCCAGCCATGGGGTCATTCCATACCACACCACATTGTCCTTTGGCCTACGCCATGGAAAGGATTCCTTACCAACATGTTCTAGATTCCCGTCCAGCATCTAGAACATGTTCCTGGGAAGCTGCTGGTGTGCACTTTGCATCAGGGACAGAGGCGCCATTTGCTTGGCCTCTGAGAACAGGAGGGGCACGCCCTGTGGGTTTGGGGAATACACAGTCCCTGGCATTTGCTTAGTGCCAGAAAGTTTCCAGAGCGCTTTCACAGACATGGTATTTAACTTCGTCTTTACAACAACCCCCGTGAAGGAGGTAAGGCAAGCGCAGTTATCCCTGACTTCCAGACGTGGAGACTGGGCTTGAAGAAAATGGAGTCTAATCTGCCCAAAGTCCCAGAGCTCCGCAGTGGTGGTGGCCAGGCTAGAGCCCCACAATCCTGGATTCCCGTCCAGGACTCTCTGCTCCACACTGCTGCTTCTGGACAGAGACCGTGAGGGCCACCTAGTAGAATTAGGCTTACTCTGTCACCTGACAGGTGCCTGGAAGGCTGAGGACATGCACCTGAGCGCACACATGTGTAGCCGTAAGTAGCAGTACAATAAACTCGCCAGGGAGCTTTTAACGTGCTTGAATCCAAATATTGTTGGGTTCAAAGTGTGGTCCTGCGAAAGAGACAGTGAGCCCTTTATCTCCTTGTCTTTGCACTAGACTTTGGCCTCCACTATCCCAGGGGAAGGTCGGTCACAGCCAAACTTAAGATACAGAGAAGAGATTATGTCTTAGCTTTTGAGCTTCTAAGGGTCCAGGTCCTGGCAGTTTAGGGTTTCCAAAGGTGCTTTTGGCTTTCAACCCCCTTTCTGCCTGCTAAGAAGTGACAGATGTTCTGCCAGGGCAGGTGTCTATGCAGATAAGCCTGGGTATCGTGTAGACCCTCACTGCCTGCTCTTCTCCATGCTATGCTCCTGCAGTGTGGATTTTGTGAAGTGGTCCTCGCAGGGGATGCTGCGGATGAGTCCAGATGCCATGAACGCCCTTTTTAAGCCGACCATCGATAGCATCATTGAGCATCTCCGTAAGTATCAGCCAGGCTCGGCCACTCGGCGAGGCAGAGCTGAGAAAGGGGATGGGCTTTCCCAGCATCACCAGCTGGTGCCTGTGGAGTCAGGTTGGCCTGGATCTGGGAGCCACAGGCAAGGGCCCTGCAGGACTGGGCAGGGCTTGGGCATGTATGGGAGAGGTTACTGGGCATAGGCTCTGGATCCCTCTCCTCGTACTGCAAAGCTGCTGAGAGCTTGTCTCACCCAAGCTTTCCGTTTGGCCTCAAAAGTCAGAGAGCTGGTAATGACAAAGAGGAAGAATTAAATAAACAAACAAAACTTTAAAACAACAAAAAAGATCAGAGAGCTGGAAGCTCTGAGGCAATGTTACCTGAGAGTGGCAGGCCCTAGGAAATGCATATTCTTTGCTTTACTGGGACATGTTAGACATCCTCACCCTGCTAGGGGAGAAGGAACTGTTGTGTGAATCAAAGGAAGTTCTGCAAGCAAATGGAATCTGGCTATGTCATTTTCCTGCTACATTGGTGGCAGTACCCAGGGACACATAGCAAACTCACCAGGACCTCTTTCAGTATCCTGTCCCCCGCCTACCAAATCAGACTCTCTAGGAGTGGAATGGGATTTTTATGAAAATCAGAGAATTCTATTTATAACAACCTGCCTTGACTTACCCAACAGAACCACAGGTTTGGAGAGCTTTAGGAGTATTCATTTATGCAAACCAAATTCTACTTAAAATTATCACCATGTATCTGTTAAAATGCATTTCTACTTAGCAGCAGCTCTGGCTTTTATTCCGGAACATATTGGTGTGCAAACTCCCTTTCTTTAAAAGACCAGTTCTGCAAAGATTCTGTTCAAGGAGCTCAGAGTAAGCCTGCCCTCCCAGTGGCCCAAGTGGCTTTATCCGTTCCCCACAGATGCAGGCAGCCCAGTTCCCCCTTCCTTGCTGGCTTTTGGTGACAGGACATTCTCCCTGCCTCTTCCCTTCCAGGGGACCTGTTTCAGAAGCCCGAGGTGTCCACCGTCAAGTTCCTCTTTCTGGTGGGCGGCTTTGCCGAGGCGCCCCTGCTGCAGCAGGCGGTGCAGGCTGCTTTTGGGGACCAGTGCCGGATCATCATCCCCCAGGACGTGGGCCTCACCATCCTCAAGGGTGCCGTCCTCTTTGGCCTGGACCCCGCGGTCATCAAGGTGCGCCGGTCGCCGCTCACCTACGGGGTAGGCGTGCTGAACCGCTACGTGGAGGGCAAGCACCCGCCTGAGAAGCTGCTGGTGAAGGATGGCACTCGGTGGTGCACCGACGTCTTTGACAAGTTCATCTCTGCCGACCAGTCTGTGGCTCTGGGTGAGCTGGTCAAGCGTAGCTACACCCCGGCCAAGCCCTCCCAGCTGGTCATTGTCATCAACATCTACAGCTCTGAGCACGACAACGTCAGCTTCATCACTGATCCCGGGGTGAAGAAGTGTGGCACGCTCCGCCTGGATCTCACAGGGACCAGTGGCACTGCGGTGCCCGCCCGGAGGGAGATCCAGACCCTTATGCAGTTCGGGGACACCGAGATCAAAGCCACAGCCATTGATATAGCCACTTCGAAGAGTGTCAAAGTTGGGATCGACTTCTTAAATTACTAACCCTCCCGCCCCGCTGCCTGTCCCCTTGGACTCAACTTATCTGCATCTGCTGACCTCAACCTTGACTGTTCTTTCCCTAACCTTGACCCTCACCATTGCCCATGTGAATTTCAGCAGGGAAGATGAGAACAATCAGGGCTAGAAATAATTAGTGACTTTTGAGGGCACACTGGAGTCAGAAAAACAGAAATTAAGATTAAGGTTTAGGCATAGAAAATTAAAGGATCCTGGAGGAGCAGCTAGTTTTCATAGGTACAAAAGTGGTGAAATGGCCACGGAGAAGGGAATCAGTACATTTCTGCAGCAGTGGTTGCGCTGCTTTGAACAGATCTCCGTTATGTAGAATTTAGGATGCCCTATTGCTGTCTTTCTAGATTTAAAATGAGATCTTTGAACCAGGAGGAGATCTTCATCTGAGACTTGTCTTTCTAAATTTTTTGGATGGCCATCAATATAAAATGCCACCCATCTGCAGTTAATTTCTTTTCCTCATCATGTGATTAAAAGTGGTGATTCAGTGGGAACTGGGAATGTTTTTAGCTGGTGGTAGAAGGCTGCCTACACTGGGCACTGTTTTAGATTCTCATATCATTTAAACAGCAAGGAGGTTCAGGGAAGAATAACCGTAGCCTTGGGTAATCCACTAGGGCTTTTGTGAGTAGGAGAGCTGATACCTCACATTCTTAGCAGGTGAAAACTTGCCATGATGGAAACAGATAGTGAAGAGTTACTGACGTATCCCAAATTATATGCTGTGACATAAATTCCCAGCATGCCCAGCCCTGATTTCTGAGTTCATAAGTAATTCTAGTGAACCTTAGTAGGAATTCTGGGTAAGAAAATGAGGTTGCCATTGGTCTTGTTTGCATCACCAAGACCAGACATCCAGAAGAGCCCCTCACCTTGAAAAGCAGACAGATTTTAAATTAACCCCCTCCTTCCCACTCACCTTCATCTCCCTAAGAGTTTTGGCCATTTAATTCCACATTTTGAAAGGAATACATTGGTGAAATTTGGGAAGAGAATCTGTGCTATGCAATGTTTCATTAAAATCTTCAGTTTTTCAAGTCTCTCTAAAAATAATTTGTAGATCTATACTTGATGTATTAAGTCAGTTTTTTTTCACAGCGGGCCTGTGGCTCGCCTGCATCAGAATTGCCTGGGTGCGTGTTCAGAACAGGTTCCTGGATCTGAGCCCTTTTTAACTGAGGCCGACTCTTGGAGAGGGGCACCAGAATCTGCATTTGTAGTGTATACCACATCGTGGTTCAACTGAAATTGGAGAAATACTAACCTGAGATTTTGTTGAAGTTCACACACAGATCACAGCCCGCCCTCTGCAGGTGTCCCCTTTGGGCTCCTTTAGGAAGAGGGCTTCCATGAGAAGGTGACCCCATACCTTGCCCTCTTGGTCAATGGGATTGGGGCTCCACCTGGCTTGGAGATGGCCCTTTTAACCCTCACAGGAAGGGCCAGGGGAGGAAAAAAATTGCAAGAAAGCGACACCAAGAACGGAGCTGACTGAGGAACCAACTGGAGGGTCTTCACTCTCTCCTTCCCCAGTGTACAAAACCAGTTTTCTGCAACATTCAGGAGCCAAATGAGGAAAAAGAATCAAGAATCTGACTCACAGCCCATCTGATCTGTTCAAAGCTGTCTTTTCCACCTGCTGAAATTCATTAAATCACTGGAGGCATGCATAATGAATGGAGAATGAGTGAACTTCCAATGCAACTTGGATTCACAAACCCATTATCATAGCCAATATGCAGATTTTAAACAGCATTTCACATTTCATTTGACCATGTCTTCTTTTTCGCATCGCCTGCTGCAGAATTCCCTACTAGAATGTGAAACAACGAACAAACCACAGAACTTAGAGTGTGCTGGTTAGTCACATAACTTAGTAGCAGGATTGTGTATCCAGGCACAAAGGTGTCTTTGCTAATGTTCTCTTGCTACCTGCCCTGCTTCAAACGCTAAATGGTATGGGTCTTTCTTTGTTGCCAGCCATATTCTACAAATAAGACTTTTCAATATAGTTATGAGTAATATAATTTTATGTACATATAATGTTAGAATATTGTACAGAATCTTGGTTTCTACGATGCGCTTTTCTTGTTTCAAAAAGAGGAAAATGCTTGATTTTTGTTGATGATACTTTTGTTACTGTCCTTAATTTTCCATAGTTTGGTTTCTTAATTGTGCTCACTAAGCATCGATCTGTGCTGATGCCAAGCTATGGACTATGTACGCAAGACCGAGCAATAGACAGAGGTGCCTAGGGTCCAAACACACTGAACGCACGTGGACCGCCTGGATCAGGAGCCTCATCAGACCCTTCTCCATGCACATCCTTCCCAAACAGTCACAGATTCCATTGAAAGGAGCAGATTCTATCAGTTCTTCTGTGCAGACTTTAAGAGCTGAACGTTCTGGTTCTGGAAGCCATGTGACTGCGCAGAACAACCTAAGAAACCCTTTGTGTCCTGAGGGGTCGTTGACCTCTCCTTCCGGGTCGGAGCAGTCACTCTGAGGGCAAAGCGTGGTCCACTGTGTGTGATGTTTTCAGGATGCTAGGGTCAAAGAAAGAAACCAAGTGGTACATAAGCCCAGCTTTTCTGCTGGGCTAAGTGTAAGTGTGAGTAACATGGTCAAGCCCCTCTTTTTTGGGCTAATGTAAAGCCTTTCCTGCCTTGCATTAATGCTATCTCCCTGTGTACTGTTTCTCTTAAATGAGCAGATAGAAATCTGCAGTGTTGGCAGATAGGTGATGGAGAGGATGATAATTTTATCTTCTGGCCACAGAGCTGCAGCCCCAGTTGTCAGAGTCCTTAAATGAAACCCCCAAATCCATCCCTCCTTCCCTACCCCCACTGGAATATTCTAGAATAAGAGCACTGGATAAGTACACTTGAACACATTTTTCTAACCTTAGAAAATACCTACAAGGCCTGTTGTCTTGACCCATTACTCAATTGTCCCTGGCATATTATCTGATCTTCACGTTTCTTGGAAGCAGAATCATCAAGGCTTTCCTTTGTAACTGCCCTTTCCGTACACAGCAGGCATGAATAAATGCTGAGTAACAGACAAGTTACAGACAGGAGGGGAAAGAGGAGGAACCATACAACTGTTTTTGCAAAATGATGGCTGAGTCCAGATTATAGAGGTTGCCTTACCCTTAGAATGTTATTTAGACCAAGTTTAGCTTTTAGAGTCCAGGTCTGGTTAATTGCCAGGGTAGCAAAGAATCGCATGCACCAATGTAAACAGGAGTCAGAATGCATTATTAGTCAAAGATCGAATTTCACATTGTAGAGATGTATAGCTGTGATTAAGCTGCATATGTATGCTGGGAAACGGCTTGAGTGGATGGCTAATATAAAAGTTGTTGGCCATAATGCCACACCTCTCATCTGCTTGAAATATGGACCAGTATTCTAAAATATCAGCTACTGGGGTCTCATTCACTACAAGATAAATTCAAACTTCACAGAACTTTGCAGCAGTTCACCACCAGACGGGACTGTGTCTGCAAACTCTCTTGTCTTCACAGACGCCTAATAAAGCAAAACTCTGAATCTCATGTGGCCCAGATTTTTTTTCCCCCCATCCTGGGTTTGCAAACTGCATGATGGACACGTCAGTACTGATCTCCCTCTCTACCCCATCTCAGGTGGTGGAGAGAGAGTTTCAGTTTTTTCCAGGTGCTGTAAGTTTTCTTAAGTTATTCTAACAAGACTAGGCCCTTTGTTTGCTGGGAACCAAGGCCCCATCGATGGGCACAGAGCCCCTTTTCTCTGGAAGAAAGTGGTCTAGCCAGAGGGAGGGCAGGTAAGCAGAGTGACCACTGCCAATGCCACTGCACCCCAGTGTAAGTCATTAAAACATGCAGAAGGCCTGGCTGGGCTCTTGCCCCTGGGCATCCCAGCCGTCACGTGAAACTGGCTGTGTCCAGAGCCTACACCTGAGTCGCCCTCCACAGTTGGCTCTGAAAGCTTCCTGATGGCCCGAGGTATGTTCTAAATGGGGTGATAAAAGAGAGGTATAAATGGTGGTCGGCTCCACCAGCCTTCATTTGCAGTTCAATTTTCAGAAAAGTAGAGGTAGGGAAGGCCGGGAGGTGCAGCAAACAAGCGTGTCCTGGAAGTAGCGCAGCTTCAGCGTCATTTTCTGTAAAGGGAGCAGCCAGCACATGCTGGTTCATAGGGCGGACATCTTGGTGGGTTTCAATTCAATGAGAGGAAGTCTGGGTGTCCCTCCAAGAGTGATTAGAAAGAAGGATGACTCACCTTCCCCAGGTGGACAGCCACTCCTCTCTGCCTTCACCTGTCCCGGCCACCTGAAAATCTGCCCCTCCTAACAGGAGACAGGGAGGGAGGGGCTGCCAGGCCCAGGAAGCTCCTGTATTGGAGGCGCCAGGGCCCCCAGGCCTCGCCTCCTCCCGCCCACTGCCGGCCCCGCCCCCTGTTCCCGCCCACCCGCTTCCCCGGCCAGACCTGCAGACCCAGGCGCCGCAGTGTCTACACCCGCAAAAACGCCCGCTTTGACTTAGAGCCCTCCGCATATCCTTCCCCTGGCTGGGGCAGCCAAGGCGCGGAGGACAGCTCCGAGGCCAGATGTTTACTGCGCAGATGCCCGACTTTACACCGGGGTCCGGGCTGTGCCGGGCGCTGGGGGAAGCGCCCACCTTCCAGGTGGGACCGCGGGAAGGGTGGGGGAGGGGCAGGCTGGCGGTGGTGGGGCCTTTGTGCTCCACCGGGTGAGCGCACAAAGGCCTGGTGGAAGGCAGGGATCCTGGGCGGCCGGGCAGAGGCCAAGTGGGCACCGGATAGCGCCAGCCCCGCCCAGGTGAGCGCTGAGGTGGGATTGGAAGAGGGTGGCTAGGAGGGGCCCTACTTTCTACCCACTCCTAGCCCCCTTTCTCAGGACACCGCCTTTCTTCCCACCCTCCTCCCTGCCCACCTCCTCCAGGCAGGCTTATACCCCAGCTGATGCTTTTGGGCAACATATCCTGTCCCTGAGAGTTTAGAGGTCATCTGTTCGCACCCCCTTTCACTCTGGAACCCTGAAACCAGTTACCTAACCTCTCTGTGCCTTATTTTTCACATTTATAAAATGGGGGTTCCAACAGGAACTCATTCTTAGGGAAGCTGTGGGGATTAAAGGAGAATGCGGTTCTGCTGCAACCACATGGGGATAGCCAGTGTTCCCTGTCTGTTGCCTTTTTAAATTGGGGAATGGGTATAATATAGCATTTATATCATGGGGCTGTTGAGAGGATTAAACAAGCGTGGAAAGCTTTCAGAAAAGTAAGCAGGTGGTCAGTATGGGTGGGACATGGTCTCACAGCCAGGTCTGTCTGACTCCAGGCCCAGTGCTTCCTCCCAGGAGTCAGGTACGTGATGCCAGGGGTTAGAGTGGCCTAGACGCGGCACAGTCCTCACTGCTGTCAGCCTGGCGGGGGCTGAACTGTCTTAACAATCCCCATCATTGCTGACTAAGCCATGACTGTGGCCCTCTCCTCCACCCTGAATCCTCTTCTTCCAGCCTCAAAGGCATTTCTTTAAAGAGATGAACTGGCTCAGCAGGGCAGGACTTGGCAAGGCCTCAGCCCACTTGGGGGGAATGACCAGCGATACCCAAAGAGGGAAGGTGTCTTATTGCAGAAACAGCATCCACATAAACTGATGTTTCAGTGGAGCCCCCTGAAGCAGAGGGTGGCCTCTGCTTACCCTCCTTGGACTCCATGTCTGCCTTTTGGGACTTCCTGATTCCTTCAAGCCAGAATTTCTTCTCCCTTGTTTGTGTGTGTGTGTGTGTGTGTGTGTGTGTGTGTGTGTGCATGTGTGTGCCGGCGGGTGGGGGGAGGCTTCTGAGCATTGCAGGATGTTCAGTAGCATCCCATCCCCCACTTCTGACAGCCAAATATGCCTCTGGACATTGCCAGATGTTCCAGGGGTAATGGTGGGGGCTGGCAAAAATCACCACTGCAACCTGATTTCACCTGGATCAAGAAGGAGGTCTGGGGGTGTGCGGGCCTCATCTCTCTCCTCACCTGAGGCTCATGAACCTAACACAGGGGCTTCTGGGCTTGCTCAGAAGCTTTGCATTCCCAGCCTCTATCATGTTTCACAGCCATAGTATGAGTACAGTTCACAATTGTTGGATGGCTGGAGGTCGGATGGAGGGGAGAGGAGACCCTGGTAGGTGTGATCTACACACTGTTATCCAAGTTAACATAAAAGGTGATGGGCCCTTGGTAATAGGTCATTGGTTTGTGACTGAAGCCAGCTGTGTCTCTGGCTTTGGGTAAGGTGGTAGTGCTGCCTCTCAGCCCCAACTCCTGGCAGTCATTCTTCCACTCCCAAGAGCTTGTGCACACTCAATAGTAATTCCTTAAGGCAGTGACTTTTGATGAGACCGTTTCATTCCCTCTTCCCTCCACTAACAGAGAGCGAAATCATGGAGCCTTCCAAGACCTTCATGAGAAACCTGCCAATCACACCAGGCTATAGCGGTAAGTGTGGACGTACCCTGCAGCTGTGCCTGGCAGGGGAACCCGGGTCCTGGTCACTGTCCCTGCCTTGACCCACTGTCTGTGTCTGTGCAGCCAACTGGACCAGTCTAGGCGCTCTAGCTTCTCAGACATGCATTGAGAGCATTCCATCGCTGAAGATGGCTGATGGCCGGGTTCTGAGGGGCAGAACTTAGACCACACGTCCCAGAACATGGCCTGGTATGCAGAGGAAGCACTTAATGCCTGTTGAATGAATTTGGACCAGGATAGACACAATGTGATGAGGATAGACACAATGTGATGAGGATAGACACATGAATAAGTAGAGGCCCTGTTCTCCCCAAGTTGGTTTTCTCAAGTCCTCCACAAAGGTTATTCTTGTGCTCCCATCCTTTCCTGCATCCCCTAAAGGAAGGCTGGCCAACTGCCCTGGTCTACCTGGGACTGCCTTTGTCCTGGGACTGCCTGGGACTTTCCTTAACACTGAAAATCTTGCATTTGGGAAACTCCTCAGTCCTTGGCAAACCAGGACGATTGGTTGCCCTACCTAGAGGCTATTCCTCCTCAGGCTTCTGGGCTACTGAGAACTTACTAAGTCATATCCCTGTGGGTGACAAACCCAGTGGTCCCCACAGACCCTTGGCTCTCCCATACAGCCGTTCTCAGGAGGAATAGTACTTGGGTGATATTCCAGGGTTGCCCAACCTCACTCTGGTCCTAATGGCTGGTTGAGAATAGGCTTTGGGTTCTGACAAGCTGAGGTTCGAATCTCTGTTTGGTCACTGTCGATGAGACTGTAAGTAACTTGCCTCTCTGTGGTAAGTACAACATTCTATAAAATGGATGTATTTGTTTTCTAGGACCACTGCAACAAATTACCACAAACTATGTGGTTTAAAGTGATGGAAATGCATTCCCTCACAGTTCTGAGGCCAGACGTCTGAAATCGAGGTGCCCGCAGGGCCATGCTCTTTCTGAAGGCGCTAGGGAAGGATCCCACCTTTGCTTCTTCCAGCTTCTGGTGGCCCCAGTGTTCTTGGCTTGTGGCAGCATCTCTCCAGTCACTCTCTTCATCCTCACACGGCATTTCCCCCTTTGTCTCTGTGTCACAAGTCTCTCTCTTCTTTCCTCTATAAGGACATCAGTCATCAGATTTAGGACCCACCCTAAATCCGGGATGATCTCATTTTTAGGCCCTTAACTTAATTACATCTGAGAAGTCCCTATTTGTAGATAAATGCACATTCACAGGTACCAGGGGTTAGGACTTGCATATATCTATTTGGAGGATACAGTTCAACCCACTACATGGGATACCATAAGATTGTTGTGAGGATTAAAGGAGCCAGCATACATAACCTATTTTAAATGTCTTGGTCCTTAGCGAGACTCGATAAAGGTAGTTCGTATGCTTATGTCTGTGCATATATGCACTAATATAAAACCTAGGCAGACCAAAGTCGGCCCTGATGGCAGGGAAACCACTGTGGCAAAGCCCCTAGGGTCTTCATAATGTTAGGATATCTTTTAATCATCCAAGGGTTGGGGAGTCTGGGCGATGCATGGAAGGCTTCCAACACTGTCAAGATTAGTTTAGTAATTAGGTTCTTCCAGAGGGGGTTATTGTAGGGCTCTGGGGGTGAGGATTGCTACTTTCAACTCTGAAGCCAGGTTTTGTTTTCCTGGAGACCATGGCAAAAATGTTGGGTTTCCATAAGGAGAGAGATTTATTTATTTATTTTGCAGTTTGAAACTAAGTTCTTAACCAGTTTTCCTCATTTGTTCTTCAAAAAAAAAAAAAATGGTTTTATTGTGACAATATTATAGTACTTAGGATTCAGCCTCCAGTTTAAGTAAATAGTTGTGTTTTACCCATACTAATTGTAATGATTATATGTTACTTGGTGGGAAATGGTGAAAAATTGTGCTAGGGGTGGGTCTTGCAGATAATGAATTTACCTTTTTGTGTAACAGGGCTCTACTTTTAATAAGCCTGCAATTTCCTGATGGTCCGGCAAGAAAGATCCCAAATTGCATTTGGGAAGTGTCGAGGAAAATAAGCTTTCTCTTTAAAAAGATGAATAATTTCAATTACTCCTTAGACTATCATTTTGGCCCATTAAATGCTTTCCCCATTTTCCGTCAGGCTGACATCAGGGGCTTTGCTATTCAAAGAGTATTACTGTCATCGCCTTTGTTGAAATGGGCCTTCCCTCCCCAGCTCCAAGGTCATTTTTTGTGGCCTTGGGAGGGCCCAGCCGCAGTGGAAACAACAGCACTGCTTGTATTAATGGCCTTTGGAAAAACGTAGTGCTGTTGGCTGAGGAAGAAATGCCAAAGGGTGGGCTGAAATGCTGGGGAGTTTAGGCGGGCTCTGAATTCCTTGCTGGCCAGTCTTGCTGAAGGCTGTGATTCCATTCGGCTCTTGCAGGCTTTGTGCCATTCCTCAGCTGCCAAGGAATGTCCAAGGAGGATGACATGAACCACTGTGTGAAAACCTTCCAGGAGAAAACACAGCGCTATAAAGAACAGCTGCGGGAATTGTGCTGCGCAGTGGCCACTGCCCCGAAACTGAAACCTGTCAACTCCGAGGAGACGGTCCTGCAGGCCCTGCACCAGTACAATCTGCAGTACCACCCCCTGATCCTGGGTAGCAGCGCCCTGAAACCATTTCCCCTCACCCCTGGTCACCCCTGCAGATTCTCATAGGCCAGCTGAGCTGCCCCATAGCACCCAGAATCCCGCACCGTTCCAAATCCCAGGGGTCAGCACCAAATGCAAAGGCTCCATTTCTTAAAATGAGAAAGACACATTTCTTTTTCTTTCTTTCTTTTTCTTTTTTTTTTTTTTTTTGAGACGGAGTCTCACTCTGTTGCCTAGGCTGGAGTGCAGTGGTGTGATCTCGGCTCACTGCAACCTCTGCCTCCTGGGTTCAAGCGATTCTCCTGCCTCAGCCTCAGCCTCAGCCAAGTAGCTGAGACTACAGGTGCATGCCACCATGCCTGGCTAATTTTTGTATTTTTAGTAGAGACGGGGTTTCACCATGTTGCCGAGGGTGGTCTCAAATTCCTGACCTCAGGTGATCTGCCTGCCTCAGCCTCCCAAAGTGCTGGGATTACAGGCATGAGCCACAGAGGCTGGCCAGAAAGAAACATTTCTAGGGGAGGGGGCACAGTCCTGGTTAGGGAAGAGGGTGCTGGTCTGAGAACTAGGAGACCCTAGGCAAGTCACAAGTTTTCAGGCCTCAGCTTCTGGGTCAGTGGAAAACATTTTTTAGTTGCTTTCTCTGTGCCATGGTGTCTTTTTACAGAATGCAAATATGTAAAGAAACCTCTCCAGGAGCCCCCGATCCCTGGCTGGGCAGGCTACCTGCCGAGAGCCAAGGTCACTGAATTTGGCTGTGGCACGAGATACACTGTCATGGCCAAAAACTGCTACAAGGACTTCCTGGAGATCACGGAGAGGGCCAAGAAGGCACATCTGAAACCATATGAAGAGTGAGTCTGGCTTGGGTCCGTACCCCAGGCACAAGGTCAAAGGGAGAAGTGCAAACCCAGGATGGGGGTTTACCAGATGTCCCCATCCCAGCACTAGGACTATTTGTGTGTGATTTGTCTTAGAGAAGGTGCCTCATTTGTAGTTTCAGGGCTTCCCCAGTAGGCAGGTGCCCTCTGCTCCCAACCTGTGCTCAGCATTCCCCAGCAGCTCTACCTGTGGTCTTTGCTGGTTTGCAGGGAGGGGATGGGAGTAAAAACCAGCAGGGCTACCATCCTGGCAGTGGCTTAAGGCCCAAGGGTGCTGAGTGGCCTCAGCTTTCTCTTCTGCGAAATGAGGAGGGTGATCTTTACCTTTAGAATAAATTGTAAAGAAATAACATACCATGTTCATATATTTACTCATATTTATGTATTGTATTTTATTCTATTTATTATTATTCTATTCTTAATAAAAGGTCCATAACTTTGTGACTTCTATTCTTGTTTTAGAATATATGGAGTTAGCTCCACAAAAACTTCTGCTCCGTCTCCAAAAGTTTTGCAGCATGAAGAGCTGCTGCCAAAATATCCCGATTTTTCTATTCCAGGTGAGGAGAAATGTCTCTTTCCTTCCTACTACCGTTTTAAAAAGGGGATGAAATGTTTGCAGTGGCCTTTCTGCTTAGCTGGGCCAGCTCCCTGCAACTCACACGGACGGTTCCTCTCCTAGATGGAAGCTGCCCTGCCCTTGGAAGGCCCCTGAGAGAGGACCCCAAAACTCCGCTGACATGTGGCTGTGCTCAGAGGCCAAGTATACCATGCAGTGGGAAGATGTATCTAGAGCCACTGTCCTCCGCAAAGTATGCAGAAGGCTAGAAGCGCAGAGTCTCCCAAGGAGGTGAACTTTAAGTGGGGCTTCCAAAACCTGCCATTCTCATGTTGGAATCACGCCCAGTGAGCAATAAAGAAATTTAGTAACAAGAATTTTTTAACTGCCGCCTGCATCCTGAGTGGTTGACGGTTGCATGTCATTAATGATAAAGACCGTTTTTTGTCATGTGGGAATAAAGAGGCTGCTTCTCCGCATGCTAAAGTTTCTTGTGCGGGTTTTCTCCAGGTTATGTTGACCATGAGCTAGGGTTCCTAACCCCCGAGGTAACACTGCAGCCAGGCCAGGATCTTCACTGAAGACCTAGCCCAACCCTCTAACCAAACAGTCCCTGGGTCCTGGCATGTTCCTGACAGCGGCGCAGACACCACGCCCACCCCAGCCCTGGTTTTCCAGAATCCCAGTCCCCAGGAGGGTCCAGTTGGCAGATACCAGCTATATTGGTGTGATAGGGCTGCCTCCACAAAGTCCCACAAACTGGGTGGCTTAAGACAACAGAAATTTATTGTCTCACAGTTCTGGAGGCTGGAAGTCCAAAACTGGGGTGTTAGCAGGGCCAGCTCCCTCTGAAACCCGTGGGGAATCCTTACTCATCTATTCTTAGCTTGCTGTGTTTTGCAGCCACGTTGGCATTTCTTGCTACTAACTCCAGGCCCCCTGGGTGCCTCTCTGCCTTCACACGGCCATCTTCTTTTTTTTTTTTTTTTTTTTGAGACAGAATCTAGCTCTGTCACCCAGGCTGGAGTGCAGTGGCGTGATCTTGGCTTACTGCAAGCTCTGCTTCCTGGGTTCACGCCATTCTCCTGCCTCAGCCTCCCAAGTAGCTGGGACTACAGGCGCCCACCACCACGCCCGGCTGATTTTTTGTATTTTTAGTAGAGATGGGGTTTCACTGTGTTGGCCAGGATGGCCTTGATCTCCTGACCTCGTGATCCGCCTGCCTCGGCCTCCCAAAGTGCTGGGATTACAGGTGTGAGCCACTGTGCCCAGCCACACGGCCGTCTTCTTACAAGGACACCAGTCGCACTGGATCAGGAGCATGCCCTACTTCACTGTGACCTCATTGTAACTCATTATACCTG
Source organism: Homo sapiens (assembly GCF_000001405.40). Lineage (NCBI taxonomy): Eukaryota > Metazoa > Chordata > Mammalia > Primates > Hominidae > Homo > Homo sapiens. The sequence goes on along the minus strand of NW_025791790.1, from coordinate 73,806 downwards.
CAATGACTCTAGTTCCAAATAAGTCACATAAAGTACGGGGACTAGGACTTTCATGTTTTTTTTGAGGGACATAGTTCAAGCCGTAACACTGGATAACATCATCTTGCCACCAGCAGGCACCCTGACCTCCCTCAGCAACCACCCGTATGCAGAAGAAATAACAGCTCCTGGGACAATGAGACCGTTGTCATCCACTCAGAAATGTGCAGAGCCACACGAGGCAGCAAGCTGGGCCTCGGAGGTTTTTTCCAAGGCAAGAATTTTCACCTGGACATGCTGGGCTCCCATGATTCCATGGGTAGAAGTCAGAAGGTCAGAGAACTTTGATGAGAAAAAAAGTTACATCATTGTTTTCACTAACCTCCAGGCGAAATTTAGTATTTCCTTCCTTGATGAATGCAGGCAACAAACCACTGCAGGACCTGTCACCTTGGCCTGAGAGCAGTCACAGATGTTTTTGTATCACGTGGCTCTGGCTGCAAACAGCTGGAATGATGTTAAAGCTCATCTCTGTAATCATGGTGGTTATTACAGTGACTATATCTACTCTCTCACATAGTGTTATTCAATATAAGAATAAAGAAATGGCTGTTTTATAAATTTGTTCTTTTTAATATTTTGATAATATTTCAATATTGTTTCCATTGTAATCTTATGTATTTTGCTTTAAACATTTGGAAATACTGTTCTGACAAGAGGCCCACAGGTTTCACTAGACAGCAGTGGGTCCCCACCACAAGAATGGTTAAGAACCTTTGTCCAGGAAAACAGCCACGAATGTGTGTAAAGGGAGATTGTCACACAAAACCAGATAACAACACCTTCCCCACAGGGTTCAGGATTATGGTACATCTCATTATTTTTAAATGATATGATGGAAAAATGGTGTTGTATAAAAATACTGAGGATCCCATACATGAAATAGGCAGGTCATAAAACTGTACAGTAACACCAGACCTGTGTGTGTGTGTCCCTCATACACACAAACTCATACACACTATAATCCTGCTTTCTGTTTTTAAAAAAGGGTGGGGGGGGGCACTAACCTATAATGCTAGCAGTGGTCATTTGGATGATGGTCCTGTTGGTTATTTTTGTTTATTTATGCTTTTTTCAATTTTCCATAGCCAATAGGTATTGTTTTTATAATCAAGAAAAAAAAGTCATTAAAAAATCGCTATTTGAATTAAAAGATATTTTAATATTTTAGAGATTAAATGTTTAAAGAAAGGTCAGGTGCAGTGGTTCACACCTGTAATCCCAGCACTTTGGGAGGCTGAGGCAGGTGGATCACCTGAGGTCAGGAGTTTGAGACCAGCCCGGCCAACATGGTGAAACCCCCGTCTCTACTAAAAATACAAAAATTAGCCGGGCGTTGTGGCTCATGCCTGTAGTCCCAGCAACTCAGGAGGCTGAGGTGGGAGGAGCTCTTGAACCCGGGAGGCAGAGGTTGCAGTAAGCCAAGATCACACCACGGCACTCCAGTCTGAGCACAAGAGTGAGACTCCGTCTCAAAAAAAAAAAAAATGTTCAAAGAAAAAAGCCACATCTCAATAGAAGGTAGCTGGATTCCCTTCCAAGGGCTGAGGCAAAGCTCAGTGAACTGTCAGGATTTTTTCCCAGTGTTCTGAAAACCTGAAAGAGTTAAAACCCACGATCTTGGAAAGGAAACGTGGAGCTAGATCTCCCCACTGCCGGGATTGGGGGGTGGCCCAGCCTGCTGCGTCTGTGCTGGCCTCTCAGGGATGAGAGACAGGAATGGATGTCTGCCTGGGCCCAAACAATTTGCAGATAGCTCCTAGGGGCTCAAGGTTACTGGGGGTCTTTGCCCATGAAATTAACGGGGTGTGAGGACTGAAATGACCCCTTGTGACTGCCCTTATCTTACTCCCATCCAGGGGATCCTATGGTGCATCAATATTTAAGTCATTGACTAATTCATTTTGCACCAACTTTTAAAAAATGGTTTGAGCTGTAAAACTGAAACAAAACCAGAAAAAACAACAACCCAGTGATAGAGGTAACAAAATTGAATAAAGGCAATTTAAACAATTCTTTAACAGTATCTAATTATTCTACAACTTCATGATTAAGATCACCGAGTTCAACGTGCGAATCTGTAACTCCCTTTGTTTAAGCAGTTCCACATTGCAAGTCTTTTCCTTAATCTTTATCCTTTCTGTTTCTCCCTAGCCTATAATTTCTGGAGTGTCGTCTGTTGGCGGGGGAGGTAGAGAGGTGATTTTACTGCTCAGCAAGTTATCATTATTAGCACAAGCTGCATCTGTAATGAGCTCATTCTTGCCACTAAAAACAATTTCCATTACCTGATAAGAAAATTCCTTGGGCCAACTTGGGCCTTTTGTTGGGATAGTTTGACCTCCATGGCAATCAAATGCTCCTTTGGGGTCACCTCTTCCTTTTTCTGTGCAAGAATTGACAGTTCTCTTTTTTTTTTTTTTTTTTGAGATGGAGTCTCGCTCTGTCACCCAGGCTGGAGTGCAGTGGCACAATCTCGGCTCACTGCAAGCTTTGCCTCTCGGGTTCACACCATTCTCCTGCCTCAGCCTCCCGAGTAGCTGGGACCACAGGTGCCCACCACCACGCCCGGCTAATTTTTTGTATTTTTGGTAGAGACAGGGTTCACCGTGTTAGCCAGGATGGTCTCAATCTCCTGACCTCGTGATCCGCCTGCCTCGGCCTCCCAAAGTGCTGGGATTACAGGCGTGAGCCACCGTGCCCGGCCAAGAATTGACAGTTCTCTTCACAACACGTGTGGAGAGGGGATGCCACGGTTCTCCGTCCCCACTCCCCATCCTGCAGAGTGGTGGCCAGCTGGCTATAAGTGGGACCTTAATCATGGCTCTAACACAACTTTGCTCAAGCACAGCTGTGAAATCTGTGGACAGCAGTCAGACTCCCTGAGTTCATATCCCAATTCAGCCTTTTTTTTTTTTTCCTGGCTTTGTGACTCTGAACACCTTCCTTAGCATCAAATTCCTCTTCAGCATCACCTGTTTAGCATCAAATTCCTAGTTTGTAAAATGAAGATAACAAAAGAGTCTACCCAGTAGTGTAGGCATAAAGAGTGAGAGATTAGGCAGGTGGTCAGTCTGGCCCACACATGCTCAGTAAATATTGTTATATAAATTACATTTACCATTCGGGTAAAAGGACCTGGAAAAATTGCTGTAGCTGACATGCACTGAGAGTATTAGGAGTGACGTCTCGGAGCCCACATAGTGAGTTATTGGCAGAACAGGGTTCAGAATCCAGAGCTCCTGGCTCTTAAAGAAGTGCCCTCCGCACCACAGCAGTTTTCTTCCTGGGATTCTCCCGTGAGGCAAGCAGCACAGGTGTGATTAGCCAACAAGGAAAACAGCAATAGCAGCAGCCAGTGAGTACAGTGCTTGCTTTTCTGCTCAAGCTCTTTATCTGGAATAGCTTATTGAATCAGGATAAATCACTTTCATTTCATAGGTGGGGACACTGAGGCACAAAGGGGTTAAGCAATTTGCTCAGAGCCACACAGACAGTAAGCGGCAGAGCCAGGAATCGAACTCAGGCAGTCTGAGGCCAGGGTCTCACACTTAACTTTCATGCCTGGACTGCTACGTCCTGTGGATCTCTTCAGTAGCCATTGTCACAGTAACATGAACTACTACTAAATGGCTCACGGTTTCAACATTGAATCAACTTAGAAAAGAGATGAAAGGATAAGCAAGGAACACAAAAGTATAATAAACATGCCGGAGTCAGTATACTGGGGTTAAAGATGCCGAGAGCTGGGCTTTGGGGGTCCTCATACCGGTCTGTGCTTTGTAACTGCTGAGTAATCTGGAGCAAGAAACTTAACTTCTCCAAGCTTCAGTCTTCGCAGTTATAAAATGACGATAATACCTTCCTCATGAGGCCATTTTGGAGGATTTAATGAAATAACTCACACAAAGGGCTTACGGCATTTTGCAGGCATAAAACTTGCAGGCCTTCCGTTTCCTGTTGACCACAGTGAAAAGCACTAGAAGACAGCAATAGCGACAAAGGGGAAGTCTGAAAGGTTCACTAGGGATGAAGACCCTTGCTCCTCCGCCCTGCTCTTAGGCCTTGCTCATCTGACCCCTGTCTCACCCCAAGAATTTCAAGAGCCAGGGTCTTGAGTCCTTTCCCAGATGGCCTCTGGTTCCTTAAGCATATTACCTTTCCCCAAACAATCCAAAGTTTCCCTTGGTTCCAGGTCTAGAGTGAGCAACCCGTGAGTGTGAGCTATCATTAGGCGAGGTTGCCCAGGCAGGCAGACCCCATCCATCTGCCCTCTCCTTGGCAGCCTCTTATTTTCAGCTGATGGGGCATGTGGAGGTGGGGAAGAAGAGTGTGGAGATACACCAGCTTCCATCTATATTTAGATTCAAACCAGATTTGTCTGGATTCTCCAAAGACTAAGCCTGCCCTCACTTCTCTTGACCAGTCTGTGGCACCACGAGGAAGGGGCACCAGGCACTCCATGGTCTAGGGGAGCTAGGCACCCAGCCCAGTGTCCTTTACACCTCATTTCTGATGGGTGCTATCCTGAAGTACACACAGAGGCCGCTCTCCCTGGTCTTTCTGTCTGGCTGCGGGAGCCTCTACCCTCCACAATCCTAGACCCTAACTCTAGGGTCTGGGGTCTGTCTGCTGTAACCCCTTGCCCAGTACCAGTTTGTCTGAAACCACTTCCATGTGCTTAAACTCAACCCAATTGCTCTGACCATAAAATATTTCTCAAGCTTTTTGCCTAAGGGCACTTCTGACAATTCATGCATATTTCTCACATCTGCAGCTTTGTAAAGGTTGGGGTTGTTTGGTTTTCCTTGGTTGTTCTTTTTTCCCCCCATTTTATCTACTTATGAACACTTTGAGGAACTTTTAACCAGCGTGTCCAAGAAACTTTTCTATTAGATTCATTGTCATGAATGCAGCATTTTTTCTGGGTGCCACCTCAGCCTCCTGCCCTGAAGGTGCCAACCCTTTTAATAGGACGTAAATCACTAAGACTCTGTCTTCTAAGCCAGAGTTTGAAAACTTTTTCTATAAAGGGCCAGATAGTAAATATTTTAGGCTTCATGGGCCATATGGTCTCTGTCACAACTACTCAATTCTACCACTTTTGCAGGAAAGTAGCTACACACACACACACACACACACACACAAATATATATAGACATATGGCATACTTATATAGATAAATGAATAGGTGGCTGTGTTACAACAAAAATTTAGGGGAACTGAAGTTTTAGTTTCATATAGTTTTCTTGTATCCTGAAATATTATTTATCTCTTGAATTTTTAAAGAACATTTAAAAATGTGAAAACCACCGCTTAGCTGGAGAGTCATACAAAAACAGGTGGCCATGGGCTTTAATTCAAGGACCCCTCCTTTAAACGAAAAATTAATCCAAGAGGATGACACTAGCCAGTATCTAGTTGTACGTGATTTATTTATTTATTTATTTATTTATTTATTTATTTATTTATTTATTTTGAGACAGCGTTTCGGTCTTGTTGCCCAGGCTGGAGTACAATGGCGCAATCTCGTCTCATTGCAACTTCCACCTCCCAGGTTCAAGTGCTTCTCCTGCCTCAGCCTCCCAAGTAGCTGGGATTACAGGCGCCTGCCACCACGCCCAGCTAATTTTTTTATTTTTAGCAGAGATGGGGGTTTCACCATGTTAGCCAGGCTGGTCTCGAACTCCCGACCTCAGGTGATCCACATGCCTTGGCCTCCCAAAGTGCTGGGATTATAGGAATGAGCCACCGCAGCGGACTGTGTGATTTATTTTGTAAGCAATATGGGTGAAGCAGGCACTCCTTGAGAGACGCCCCCTCGGAGAAGCTCAGAAACAGAGATCCTCTGTATCCAGAACACAGAGAAGGTAGCCCAGACCAACTGGCAAGAGGGAGGGGGACAAAGAATGATGTGTAGCTTGTATTCACCGGGAGAAAGCCTGCAATTGCTTGAGACAAAAAAGGTAGAAACAAAGGCCTTGTAGAGGCTTTTCATACCCTGCATTAAAGTTAAAATCTAATTTAGATGAAAATGGATGCATAGAAATTAAACGTGCGTGCGTGGCTTTCGTCGTTAAGTTGTGGGCCCCGTAACGAGAGCTTTACCAAATTTATTCCCTTGGCTTGAAAATAAAAATGCTTTTTGAAATTTGATTTTGTTGTGTTACAAATTGTTTTAGCTTTGTGAATAGTACAAACCCCATTTCTGATCTACCTCAAACAAAAATAGAGCATTAAAGTGTTTAAGATTCAATCAAAGGCTTGCTGTGAGCGGCACAATATTAAAATAACAGAAAAATCAATTCAATTTTTATTTTGAACATGATTTGTCACAAACAGCCTTCTAATAGATAACACTGATTATACGGTAGCAAATGTAATTTATAACTACCAAGTGTTCTGCCTTTGTCAGAGTCAGCATTAAGGAATTTGACACGTATGCAGGAGAACAATAAATGTCAACTGAAATATATACCAGTTAGATATCAATGGGATGCTGAAATGAATGATGCCGGCACGTGCTATACTTATAAGTAATAATATGCAGTCTAAAGTAGCCTGGGTTTTCAAATAAGAACCCTTTTTATGTTGTCATTTAAAATATCTCATATTTCTGAAGGTCAGGAATAAATGGCACTATTAGCATTAAAAGCTAGTAAAAGAAAAAGTAATTTGTTGTTCATTTAACATAACATTTTATGAAACAGCTTTGTAAAGTATTCATTTTTTTTCTCCCTATGGAGGCTGGCAAGACAGGAAGAAGATGCCTGATTCTCAATGAAGGGCTTTTTATTGCACCTTTGTTACTGTTAACATCTTGATTCAGTTAAGATCTCTGTGGAATTATGTGGTTTGTGCCTGGGCAGGTTAATACTATGAAATAAAGATGTCTACACAAATGTAGTCTTGGCTGGCTCCCGCAGGATGCTGCCCGGGTCCTGGCTTTGGTCCTTATCAGTAGTGCCATTTGGTATAGGGATGACAGTATGACACTAGGGACAGGTGGCAAGACTGTCAGAAACTGAGAATGGAGGGTTTTGATGTGACAGACATAGGTCCTCAAGAGAAAGAGGAGGGAGGCACTTGCTATGTGTCTTGGGAGCAGTGGCAGCTAAATCAGGATATGAATCCAAATACAGATGGAGGGCCATCTTGGAAAGGCCCAGCCATGGAAACCCACTAAATCACCTTTCACCAGCCACAGGTCCCGAATCCCAAAATGCTGTAGACCTCATCCATCTAGGCTCGTGGGCAACCCTCTCAGCTCATCCTTTTCTTTATGTATTCTGAATTCTCAGCTTCCCTAGAATCAGTCAGTCAAAGTCTTTCTCTTTTTCTCTCTCTCCTCTTAAATGTGTATAAAAAATTAAAATAACACAAAATAACATTGCCAAACACCACGTAACCACCTGTAATTAGCAAAGTTGAATGCTTTATCATATTTCCTTCAAGCTCTTTTGTAAGAAGTAAATAAATATGGGACTTGGGACAACATGGCTATCTAGGTGCAGCCAGGAAGAGTTCAGAATATCAGGTAGACCAGCATACTCTGAACAGGTCTTCAGAGAGAATGCACTGAGGGTGGATAAAGAGACGATGCAGACACTGGGGCTGAAGGGGGAGGAAGCTGGGAACCCTGCATGGGGTTGTTGAGCACCAGGACTCATTCCTGGCTCTGAAGGGCTCCTAAGGAAGGGGTGAGAGAAGGAAATGCAGAGCAGCCTACTCCCACCACGGACCTCCAGGACCCTAGTGGCAGAAAATATCATGACACCCACAGACAATTGAGTTGGCAGGGGGAACTGCCCAGAGAGTGGGTGGAGACAGAGCTTGAATCTGCAGGGAGCCCGGGTGGTTTTGTGCAGGGTCAGGTGCAATGGAACACGGCAATAGGCACCCATCTCCCAAAGCTCTCTATATTCCTTTGGTGGCTTTGACCTTTGTTAGCTGCCTGACCTGGAGAGAGCAAGGCTGTCTTTTCCAACAAAGTGGGGTGAGTCTGATCTGTGCTGGCTCACAGGGCAGCCTCAGCCATCCCACTGGAGCACTTTTGCCAGTGGCCACCACCATAATGCTTTCACCTGCAGCCCCTGTGCTACCTGACCAGAGTCCTTTTACCCACAGCCCCTCTGCTGCCCTCCTGGACCACTTTAGCCCACAGCATCCGACAGAGTGCTGTTGCCAGCAGTCTGGGAGCACCTTGGTTCCCTTAAAGCAGCTGGTGCTTCACCTCAAGGGGCCAGAAGAAAAAGCTATGGGCCCAGTCCCAGCTCCCCAGGGTTAAAGCATGCAGCCTAGGAGTGTCAAGCTGAGTCTTGGCCCTCTGAAAGCATCCAGAAACAAACATTCAACTATACCCAACCTGTACGACAGTCAAACCCTCGAGGGCAATAAAGAACATGTAAACAAAAAGCCTCATCCAAAAGACAGCAACTTCAAAGGATAAAGGAACATTAGCCCTCACAGAAAGAACCAGTGCAAGAACTTTGGCAACTCTAAAAACCAGAGTATCTTCTTACCTCCAGATGATCACACTAGCTCCCCAGCAATGGTTCTTAACCAGATTGAAATGGCTGAAATGTCAGACATAGAATTCAGAATCTGGATGGCAAGGAAGCTCAATGAGACACAAGAGAAGGTTGAAACCCAATCCAAGGAAAACAATAAAATGATCCAAGGGTTGAAAGATGACATCACCATTTTAAGAAAGAACCAAAATGAACTTCTGGAAATAGAAAATTTACAGGAATTTCATAATACAATTGGAAGCATTAACAACAATTGGAATAGACCAACCTGAAGAAAGAATCTAAGAACTTGAAGACCACTCCTTCAAAGCAACGCAGGCAGACAAAAATGAGGAAAAAAGAATTTTAGAAAATGAATGAAATCTCCAAGAAATATGGGATTGTGTAAAGAGAGCAAACCTATGACTCATTGGCATTTCTGAAAGAGAGCAAACAACTTAAAAAATATATTTGAGGATATAGTCCATGAAAAATTTCCTAATATTTTACATGTGAATTTAAGAAATTCAGAGAATCCCTGTGAGATACTATATAAGATGACCATCCCCAAAACATACTGTAATCAGATTCTCCAAGGTCAATATGAAAGAAGAAGTCCTAAAGGCAGCTAGAGAGAAGGGGCAGGTCATTTATAAAGGGAATCCCATCAGGCTAACAGTGGGGCTTTTAGCAGAAACCTTACACTCCAGAAGAGATTGGGGGCCAATTTTCAGCATTCTTAAAGAAAAGAAATTCCAACCAAGAATTTCATATCCTTCCAAATTAAGCTTCATAAGAAAAGGAGAAATAAAATCCTTTTCAGAGAAACAAATTCTAAGGGAATTCGTTACCACTACCTGCCTTATAAGAGGTTCTAAATGGAGTGCTAAACATGGAAATGAAAGAACAATACCTGCCACCACAAAAACACATTTCAGTACAAAGTCCATTGACACTACAAAGCAACTATACAATCAAATCTACCTAACCACCTGCTAACAACACAATGACAGGATCAAATCCTCACATAGCAATATTGGTTTTAAATATAAATGGGTTAGATGCCCCACTTAAAAGGTATAGAGTTGGTAGCTCATGCCTGTAATCCCAGCACTTAGGGAGGCCGAGGCGGGCAGATCACAAGATCAGGAGATCGAGATCATCCTGGCTAACACGGTGAAACCCCATCTCTACTAAAAATACAAAAATTTAGCCGGGAGTGGTGGCACATGCCTGTAATCCCAGCTACTCGGGAGGCTAAGGCAGGAGAATCCATCCCTTGAACCCAGGAGGTGGAGGTTGCAGTGAGCTGAGATCGCACCACTGCACTCCAGCCTGGGCGACAGAGCGAGACTCTGTCTCAAAAAAAAAAAAAAAAAAAAAAAAAAATAGAATGTCAAATTGGATAAAGAAGCAAGACCCAACAACTGTCTTCAAGAAACCCATCTTACAAGTAATGACACCAATGACACCCACAGGCTCAAAGGAAAGGGATAGAGAAGGATCTATCAGGCAAATGGAAAACAAAAAAGAGAAGGGAGTTGCTATTCTTATATCAGATAAAATAGGTTTTAAACCAACAATGATCAAAAAGGACAAAGAAGGGCATTACATAATGATAAATGGCTCAATTCAATAAGACTTAACTATCCTAAATATATACGCATCCAACATTGAAGCACCCAGATTCATTTTTAAAAAAGTTCTTAGAGGTCTACAAAGAGATTTGGAGAACCACACAAGTTAAGCGGGAGACTTCAACATCCCACTGACAACGTTAGAAGGATCATCAAGGCAGAAATCTAATAAAGATATTCTGGACTTAAACTCAACACTTGACCAAATAAACCTAAAAGACATCTATAGAACACCCTACCTGACAACAGGATATGCATTCTTCTTATCAGCACATGGCACATATTCTAAGATTGCGCACATGCTCAACCATAAAGCAAGTCTCAACAAATTAAAAAAAAATCATAACAACCACACTCTCAGACCACAGTGCAATAAAAATATAAATCAATACCAAGAAGATCCCTTAGAACTATACAATTACATGGAAGTTAAACTGCAACTAAATGATTTCTGGGTAAAAAATTAAACTAAGGCAGAAAAAAAATCATTTGAAACTAATGAAAACAGAGGCATAGCACACCAGAATTTTTGGGACCTAGCTAAAGCAGTGTTAAGAAGAAAGTTTATAGCACTAAATGACTACATCAAGAAGTTAGAACTCAAATTAACAAACTAATGCCATACATAGAAGAACTAAAAAACAAAAGCAAAACAACTCCAAAGCTCCCAGAGGAAAAGAAATAACCAAAATCAGAGCTGAACTAAACAAAACTGAGATGCAAAAATCTACACAACAGATCAACAAAACCAAAAGTTTGTTCTTTGAAAGAATGAACAAGATCAATAGACTGCTAACTAGATTAATAAAGAAAAAAGGGGAAAGATCCAAATAAACACAATCAGAAGTGACAAAAGTAACATTACAAATGGCCTTACAGAAATACAAAAAAATCCTCAGAGACTATTATGAACATCTCTGTGCATACAAAGTAGAAAACGTAGAAGAATGGATAAATTTCTGGACACACACAGCCTCCCAAGATTGAAACAGGAAGAGATTGAAATCTTGAATAGACCAATAACAAGTTCTGCAATTGAATCATTAATAAAAAACCTACCAACCAATAAAAGCCCAGGACCATATGAATTCACAGACAAATTCTACCAGATGTACAAAGAAGAGTTAATATCAATCCTTCTGAAATTATTCCAAAAAATAAAGGAGGAGAGACTTCCCTAACTCATTCTATAAAGCCAGCATCATTATGATACAAAATCTGGTAGATCACAGTGAAAAAAGAAAACATCAGGCCAATATCCCTGATGAACATACACACAAAAATCTTCAACAAAATATTACCAAACTGAATCCAGCAGCACATCAAAAAGTTAAGTCACCATGACCGAGTAGGCTTTATTCCTGGCATGCAAGGTTAGCTCAACACATGTAAACCAATAAATGTGATTCATCCACATAAACAGAATTAAAAACAAAAACCACCTGATCATCTCAATAGACAGAGAAAAAGTCTTTTGATACAATTCAACATCCCTTCATGTTAAAAACTCTCAACAAATTAGGCATCAAACGAACATACCTCAAAATAATAAGAGCCACCTATGACAAACCCACAGCCAACATCATACTGAATGGGCAAAAAACTGGAAGCATTTCTTTTGAGAACTGGAAAAAGCCAAGGATGCCCTCTCTCACCACTCCTATTCAATTATTACGGGAAGTCCTAGTCAGAGCCATCAGGCAAGAGAAAGAAGTAAAGGGCATACAAATAAGAAGAGAAGTCAATCTCTTTTCACAGACAATATGATTCTATACCTAGAAAATCCCATAAACCCTGCCAAAAGGCTCCTACAACTGATAAACAACTTCAGTGAAGTTTCAGGTTACAAAATCAATGTATGAAAATCAGTAGCATTTATATACTCCAATAACACCCATGTTGACAGCCAAATCAAGACCACAATCTCATTTACAGTAGCCAGAAAAAGAATAAAGTTATTAGGAATACAGCTAACTAACAAGGTGAAAGATAGCTACAACAAGAATTACAAAACATTGCTGAAAGAAATAAGAGATGACACAAACAGAAAAACATTCCATGCTCATGGATAGGATGAATTGATATTGTTAAAATGGTTATACTGTCCAAAGCAATTTACAATTCAATGCTATTCCTATCAAACTATCAGTGTCATTTTTCAAAGAATTAGAAAAAATGATTCTAAAATTTATATGGAACCGAAAAAGGGCCTAAAGAGCCAAAGCAATCTTAGGCAAAAAGAAAAAAGCTGGAGGCATTACACTACCTGACTTCAAACCATACTACAAGGCTACAGTAACCCAAACAGCATGGTACTGGTACAAAAACATACATATAGACCAATGGAACAAGATGGAGAACCCAGAAATAAAGCCACACACCTACAACCACCTGATCTTCAACAATTGACAACAACAAGAAGTAGGGAAAGAACTCCCTACTCAATAAATGGTGCTGGGATAACTGGCTAGCCACAGGCAGAAGATTGAAACTGGACACCCTTTTTTCAGCATACACAAAAATTAGCTCAAGATGGATTAAAGACTTAAATGCAAGATCTAAAACTTAAAAAAAAAACTCTAGAAGAAATCCTAGGAAATCCATTCTGGGCATTGGCCTTGGCAAATAATTTATGACTAAGTCCCTAAAAGCATTTTTGACAAAAACAGAAACTGACAAGTGGGTAACTTAAAGAGCTTCTGTACAGTAAAAGAAACTGTCATGAGAGTAAACAGACAACCTATGGAATGGAGAAAATATTCACAAACTATGTATCTGACAAAGGTCTAATATTCAGAATCTATAAGTAACCTAAACAATTCAACAAACAAAAACCAAATAACCCCATTTTAAAAAATGGGCAAAGGACATGAACAGACACTTCTCCAAAGAAGATATATATGTGGCCAACAAAAATATGAGAAAATGCTCACCATCACTAATCATTACAGAAATGCAAATAAAAACCACAGTCAAATACCATCTCACACCAGTCAGAATCGCTATTACTAAAAAGTCAAAAAACAACAGATATTGGTGAGGTTGTGGAGAAAAGGGAACACTTATACACTGCTGGTAGGAATGTAAGTTAGTTCAGCCACTGTGGAAAGCAGTGTGTAGCTTCCTCTAGGAACTTAAAACAGAATTACCATTTGACCCAGTATTTGGTATATATCCCCCCCAAAATAAATCATTTTACCAAAAAGACACATGCACTCATATGTTCATTGCTGCACTATTCACAATAGCAAAGACATGGAATCAACCTAGATGTCCATCAGTGGTGGACTGGATAAAGAAAATGTGGTACCTATACACCATGGAATACTATGCAGCCATAAAAAGGAATGAAATCATGTCCTTTGAAGCAACATGAATGCAATGCACCTGGGGGCCATTATCCTAACGAATAACGAATAAGATAACGAATACAGAAACAGAAAACCAAATACTGTGTGTTCTCACTTATAAGCAGGAGCTAAATGCTGAATACGCATGGACACAAAAATGGAAACAATAGACGCTGGGGACTACTTGAGGGAGAAGAGTGGGGAGGGTTGAAAAACTATCTATCAGGTACTATGCTCGCTCCCAGGATGACGAAGGATTCTAAATGGCCTTGTAGGTCATGTTTTGATATCTTGTAGCACATAGGTGGTGAGTAATAGTATTTTGTAAATAGAAATGTACGTAAGTCATAATTTCTGTATCTAAATGATATATCTTCCTGACACTTGCTTTTGTCCTCAACAGGACATTTTGGGGATCTACACATGTTGATACATATGGATCCTAGTTCATTCTTTTTCATTGATGAAGGCATATTTTGGATAATCTGACAAGTGTGAATGTTATTTTGTTGGTTTCATTTGTATTCCCCTGATTACTAGTGAGGTTAAATCTCAAGCTTTTTAAATTCAGTTTTCCTGTGTGTGAATTGCATGTTTGTGACCTCTGTCCATTTTTCTGTTGGGTTGTCCTTTTATGTATTCTGAATACGAATCTTTAGTTGCATCCACTTAAAATTGCTTCTCTGAGGCTACGACCTGTCTTAGCTCTTTGTCATTGGTATCTGTTACTCTTAAAGAATAACTCATGCCAGCCAGCCCTTCCTTCTTTTTCTTCTTCTTTTTTTTTTTTTAGACCGAGTCTCCCTCTGCTGCCCAAGCTGGAGTGCAGTAGCTTGACCTCGGCTCACTGCAGCCTCCGCCTTCCAGGTTCAAGTGATTCTCCTGCCTCAGCCTCCCGAGTAGCTGGGATTATAGGTGTGCACCACCATGCTCCGCTAATTTTTTCTTTGTATTCTTAGTAGAGACAGGGTTTCACCGTCTTGGCCAGGTCTCGAACTCCTGACCTCAGATGATCCAGCCGCTTCAGCCTCCCAACCTTCCTCATTTAATGACAGTTTATTATGTGCCAAGCACTGTCCTAAGCGCTTTGCGTTTCTTATCTTATGTAATTCTACTAGCCACCCTGTATGGCAGGGCTACTATTATTCTCCAGTAAGTGTTGAGGTCAGAGAAGTTAAGCAGCCAGCCCAGGGAGTCCAGGTAGAAGGAAATGAAGCCGCAATGAATGCAAGGCCAGCTCAGCTTTACTGCAGAGCTGAGCAATTAGGCCCTATATCACACTATGGGGATTTATATGAGTAAAGATAGAAAGTGTCATTACCACCTCTTAGATGGGATCATACCTGGTGGTTCTGAACTGTGGCTGTAAATCGTCCAGGGAGCTTTAAGAATACCGGTGACCCACCCCAAAATTGTGGTTGGTCTAGGATATATCCTGGACATGGGATTGTCTTTTGCTTTTGTTTTCTTTCTTTCTTTTGAAGAGATGGGGCCTCACTCTGTTGCCCAGGCTGGTCTCAAATTCCTGGCTTCAGGTGATCCTCTCGTCTCAGCCTCCTGAGTAGCTGGGATTACAGGTTTCTTTTAAAGCTCCACAGTAATTCTAATACACGGCCAGGGCTGATAACTTCTACAGTTTGTAGTTTTATTGAGATCTAAAACATCTGGTAGGTCTCAGACAAGGACCTATTTCATTGCACCAGGCTAAGATTTTAAATGCTGTATAGGGGCCGGGCACAGTGGCTCACACCTGTAATCCCAGGAGTTTGGGAGGCCGAGGTGGGTGGATCACTTGAGGTCAGGAGTTCAAGACCAGCCTGGCCAACATGGTGAAATCTGTCTCTACTAAAAATAAAAAAATTAGCTGGGCATGGTGGTGGATGCCTACTCGGGAAGCTGACAGGCAGGAGAATCGCGTGAAGCCAGGAGGCGGAGGTTGCATGCAGTGAGCCGAGATCGCGCCACTGCACTCCAGCCTGGGTGACAGAGCGAGACTCCATCCCCAAAAAAATAAAAAATAAAAACAAATAAATGCTGTATAGGGTTTTAAGAAAAAGAATTTAGAAAATACAAAGAAAATAAAAGCAAAAAGGACGAAGGAAACAAAAAAATCCCAAGACATTGAACTCAAGGACTTCAGTTCTGTTTGCATTAGAGGCCTCCCCTTAAAGGGAAGAGAGAGCTCCTTTACCCCTATTCTCCAAATCTCAGTGGAAGGAAGAATTACGTGCAATTCTCCTGAAGCAACAGCCACTGCTGTCATGATGCCATTTTCTCAATCTGCTAGATGAAGCCATTTCAGGATTCTAAGAATTGAACAGTGAATAACCCCACCCTGGCGCAACGGGTGCACCTACAGTACAACCCCCAGGCCCTGAAAGCAACACCCTCTACCTGGCACCAGCCCATTTACTCTCTGGGGTGCCCAGGCAGTTCTGCTGGGGGCAAATGGGAAGTGGTGCATGGTCAGGAGGCCAGGCTTCCACGGCTGCGCTCCACACGGGCCCCAGCAGCTTTGTTGAGGAGGTCCTTGGCCCCCCCAAATCTGGGCATAGCCTCAAAAAAAGACCACACAGGCTGGTGGCCAGTATCAGGCTCAGGAAGGAGATATGAAAACCCAGGCCTGGCTGCCTCATCTGCCTCTGACCAGTGTGAGTTCAGGTGGTTGGAGCCCTCCGGGAAGCCACTGGGGTGATGGGGACCTGCAGAACCCTTTAAGTATGAGCTGCGCACAGGGCAGACAGGTACAGGCCCTGTGAGCAGCTGCCCCAGGCCCTCCTGCTGCCGTTCTTTTTCCTCCCTGGGTAGAGGATAGATTGAGCAAAATATTCGCATATGATGGAATATTCCAGTTTTCCTAATATTAAAGAGCTGTTTAAAGTGAAAACTGTATTAAAAAGATGCCTAAAATTGGCAAAGAATTTGGATAATTCACAGAGGAAGAAATACCAAGAGCCCATTAAATACTGAAACCTCACTCATAATAAAATAAAGCAAATTACAATGTAAGGAAACACACTTTCACCTATCAAATTGGCAAAAGATTTGACAATACCCATGTTGGTAAGAGTGTGAAACGCTCTCATATTAGAATGAATCACATGAAATTGTCAACATTTGGCTTTTCTGGCCTTTAAAACTGTAATTGCCTATGGTTCAACCTACTATGTTGTTCGTTGAATAAATTGATACAATCGCTATAGAGAGCAATTTGGCAATATTGGTCAAAATAAACATATTCCAAATATTTATTGATCAGCTATATAATGTAGAATATATCATGAAAGGATATTAATTGCATGAATATTTATAATAGAAAATAGTCCAACCATACATACCATGTACATCTCTCAGTGGAATCTATGAAGCTATATGAAGAATGGAGAAACTCTTCCTGTACCATTAGAGACGAATATGCAACTTATTGTTAGTGAAAAATGCAAGATGTGGAACAGTGTGTACAGTATTCTATCATCTGTGCTTAGACAAAAAGGGTGTGGCAGGGTTGAGTGTGTAAAATAGATATATCCATAAGGATATATGGACTATTTCTTGAAAAAACCCAGGTTGTCTCTAGGAAGAAGAACTGAGAGACTTGAAGGCAAGGGGGAAAGAGATTCTCCTTTCATAAGAATACTTTTCTGTATCATTTGAATTTTGTAACATGTGCATGCATTAACTTTTTTTTTTTTTTTAAAAAAAGCCCCGCTGTCTCCATGCCGCAGGTGGATTTTAATCAAAATCATCAGAGTTTGGAGTTACACCTGCCACAAAATGCGGCAATATCTCGGGATTTTTGTTTCATTCTCCTTTTTTGCTTTTCTTCTCTTTGTATTTTCTGAATGCTTATGTGGTGTCTACCTTGTGTCCCTAGGATGTTAAAAGCTGGTTGGGCAGCAAGCGAGAGCAACAATGACCTTTACAAATAGGACAGAAGTTCATTGTCTAAGGAAATAAAATCCGCTGGAATGGGCCACCTAAAGTGCCTGGAAAGAGAGAGATGGTGGCAGAGGTAAGTGGGTGAGAAGTTCCAGGCATCACCTGTGGCAAACTTGGCTCCAATCCCCCAAATCATTTCTGAAATGCGAACCCAGAAAGTAGAGAATGTCAAACTAACAGCTCACCCTCAAACCGAGTGCATTAAAGATTTTATTACCGCAATAGCTGCACCACGTTTTTAACAAGGGTAAAGAGATTGCAAGACGTTTTCTTCCACAGTGTCGCTGCTACAAAAATTATACCTGTGGAGGAAAAGATTGTCAGCATGAGGCTCTTTTGCTTGTGGAAATGTGACTTCAGGTGAGTAAACAGCATTTGGGCAACCCCCTGGATTCGGCTCCCCTTGACCGAAAAGTTCTGCTTTACCAGGCAGAGTCCAAGTAATTCTTACTAACAAAACCTGCTCAAAGAGCACTCCTCTCCCCATGTGGGCTCTGAATGGGTGGAAAGTGAATCAGCCATGTCAAACTGAAGCTTTGCAAACTGCAAAACTGAGGGGACTCTGATGGGACTGCCTCTTTGGGTCTAGCAATGAGTTCCAGGGACCAAGAGTGCCCCAGCCAGCACAGAGGGGACTTTCTCTGTCAAATTAAAATCAGAGAGGGCCCCTCATACACTGCTCTGGAAATGTAAAATGTGGCAGCCACTTTGGAAACAGTTTGGCAATTCCTCTAAAGGTTAAACAGAGTTATCATATGGCCAAGCAGTTCCACTCCTAGGTATATACCCAAGAGGATGAAAACAAAATCTTGTACATAATGTTCATAGCAGCATTATTCATAATAGCCCCCAAGTAGAGACAACCCAAATGACCAACTGATAAATGAATAAATAAAATGTGGCATAGTCGTATAATAGAATATTATTTGACAATAAAAAACAATGCAGTACTGATACATGCTACGTGGATGAACCTTGAAAACGTTATGCTAAATGAAAGAAGCCAGTCATGAAGGACTATATACTGTATGACTCCATTTACATGAAATATCCAGAATAAGAAAACCTACAGAGACGCAAAGTAGATTAGTGGATGCCTAGGGCTGAGAAAAAGGGATGTGCGGGTGGAGGGATGATGGCTAATGGGTCTGGGGTTTCTTTTTAAGGTGATGAAAAGATTTTAACATTGTAGTGATAGTTGCACAACTCTGTGAATATTCTAAAAGCCATTGAATTGCACACTTTAAATGGGTTAATTGTGTTTTATGGGAATTATGGTTCAATAAAATTGCTTAAAAATAAAAAAGATCCTGGAGGGTTATTAACCGTGACAAACTAACTAAGTCAGGTTGGAGCAAGCACCAAGCATGAGAAGCTGGCCACTTCTGGCCTCTTCCTTCCCTTGCAGGTGACTTTGATGCAAGGGGAACAGTGTGGCCAAGCTGGCCTTCCCTCCGGGTTAGCTTCAGAATGTAGCTTCTTGGTGAGAGAGCCCTCATGTGGGCTGGGGACTCTGGTGTTTGGATTATACAGTATGTGTTCTATATTGTACTTAAAACAGGAACTCCACCCCCACTTAAATACTGAGAAATCCAGACATTTTCACATTGCATTGCACTACCAGACCATATGGACTTCTCAGTTTCACATCCAGCTGGCTGAGTTGATGGGCACAGTGGAAAGAACACTGGAGGGGCTGTCAGAAGACCTGGGTCCCAGTCCTTGTTGTGCCTTACAACTGAGCATAGTAGCCCCCCATTATCTGCAGTTTTGCTTTCCATGGTTTCAGTTACCCATGGTCAACTGAGGTCCCAAAATAGGAAATGGGAAATTTTAGAAACAAACAATTCATAAGCTTAAATTACACATCATTCTGAGTAGCATGATAAAATCTTGCTCTGTTCAGCTCTGTCCCACCCAGGACATGAAGTGTCCCTTTGTCCAGCATATTTCCTATTCATATAGTATGTATGAATAGGAAAAAAAATCATAGTATATGTAGGATTGGTACTATTTGAGGTTTGAGGCATCCAACTGGGGTCTTGGATTATATCACCCATCCCCCCAGGTAAGGGGGTCTACTGTACACAAAGTGATGGCACGCTGACTGTGACATCTGATCCTTCCAATAATATACTGAGTAATTGGGATTATTGCCACTTTTACAGCCAGCAAAGTTGAGTCATGCAGCTGAGCTAAGTCTTGGTGTGTGTTTTGAAAACATTCTGAAGTTCAATATTTTTCCCTTTAGATTCCCTACATGACCTTAGACAA
Organism: Homo sapiens; assembly: GCF_000001405.40. Classification (NCBI taxonomy): domain Eukaryota; kingdom Metazoa; phylum Chordata; class Mammalia; order Primates; family Hominidae; genus Homo; species Homo sapiens. Next base: position 54,057 of record NW_025791790.1, on the reverse strand, counting down.
GTTACTTGACTTTCCAAATCTTACTTCCTCATCTTAAAACAAGATCAGTTGAGAGTCAACATTTATGTTTCCTTTATTCTCTAATATCCCATTGTTTTTGAATTATCCTCTTTTGAGGTGTCATTCTTTCCATATTTTAAAAACAGTTATATTCTCTCCCAATGCCTACTAAGTAGGATTCTATTCTCTCAGAATGGAAGAACTTGCCACTATGAGCCAGATTCCCAACACAGTGTGTATCCCTCTAATGCTATAGTCTCCAAACAAACCTGTTTACATTAATAACTGCACATCAACTGGAATTAACTCAGAGATTTCCACTATGTGCTTCCCAAGTGTTTTCCTTATTGTTTGAGATAAAATAGTCATTCATATTTGCCCGTTTCTTGAATCTGTGCCTACAATCATTGCCTTGCCCCTGCCAAGTTGAATTTTGCCTAAGGAAAACAACGTTTGGTTTTTCAAAGTAAATCAGATGGATGGATGGAGAGTTGAGATGAACAGCTGGGAAGATGAATGGATGGAGGGAAGATCAAATAATGGCCAGAGGGCCAGAAGAATGATAAGATAGGTGTCTGGGTGGATGGGTAGAGGAATAAGTGAATGGGTAAGTGGCTAAGTGGTTAAAAGGATAGAGAAATGGATAGATGGGTAGATGAATGGATGAGTAGATGGGTACATAGATGAGTAGGTGGGCAATTGGATGAATGAATGCCTAGACAGATAGATCAATATGTAAATATAAATAACCAAACTTAGATGCAATAAAAAATACATACTCAGTCCCATCTTCACCACTTTGCACTGTGATTTGGGAAGCCCCCAGTTTGGGCTCAGATAGATTTATCCCACGTTTGTTCCAGAGGAATTTAACTTTCTGTATTTTTCCAACATTAAAATCCACATCAATAGCACACGTGTGACTTGCATCTGGTTTGAGGGATCCTCTGAAAATATAGACATAAAATGTTATATCAGCTGGATATATGAATACATAACATGATTGCGATCTATCACTTCTCTAAACAATAGTTGCTGTTGTTGGTTTTCTGCAAACACCTTGGATGACTTCATACACATCCAGGGGCTGCCATAACATAAAAGTATTTGTGCAGAACACACCTTTTAAAAATACTGGACTCCAGATTTCCACTGTTTTAGTTTTTACCTACAGCTAAGTCGAATATTTGGGGTGGCATATGAATGCTCTAAGTTTGTTACAGGACTATTTGGGGCAATGTCTTATGTTTAAAGATGCATGTGGTTCAGCAGGTGCCATTTGTTAGCATCTCATGTGTATTACAGGAATTTGTCAAGGACATTTAATTCAACACAAACATTTTTATGTAAAAGTTAGTGCAAAAACAGAACCTAACTTTATTGTACAGGTTATGCATTCATCTAACACATATTTACCAAGCACCTCACATGCCCAGCAGAAGCCAGATGCTGAGGCCACACAGCATGGATGAGATGGCCACAGGCTTCATATGTGTACCTATGTGTGTGAGGATGGGGTGTGTGTTGGGTATGTGCCATACAGATGTGCCTTGCCTGAAGAGATTTTGATATTTACAAAATCCAAGTCAGAAAGAAAACTATAGGCAATATCCCTGATGAACACAGACACAAAAATCCCCAACAAAATGCAAGCAAACCAAATCCAACAGCACGTTAAAAAGATAATTCATCACAATGAAGTGGGTTTTATTCCAGGAATGCAAGGGTGGTTCTACATATGCAAATCAACAAATGTGATTCAACATATAAACAGAATCAAAAACAAAAAACATATAATAATCTCAATAGATGCAGAAAAAGCTTTTAATAAAATCTAATGTCCCTTCATGATAAAAAGCCCTCAACTAACTAGACATCAAAGAAACATACCTCAAAATAATAAAAGCCATATATGACAATCCCACAGCTAACCCTATGTCGAATGGAGAAAAGTTGAAAGCATTCACCCTAAGAACTGGGACTAGACAAGGATGTCCACTCTCATTACTCCTATTCAACACAGTACTGTAAGTTCTAGCCAGAGCAATCAGGCAAGAGAAAGAAATAAAAGGCATCCAATTGGAAAAGAAGAAGTCTACTTATCTCTGTTTACTGATGACATGATTTTATATCCAGAAAATCCTAACAATTCCCCTAAAAGTCTGCTAGGCCTGATAAATCACTTTAGTAAAGTTTCAGAATACAAATTATTGCACAAAAATCAATTGCATTTCTATACACCAAAAATGCTCAAGGTGAGAACCAAATCAAGAACTCAATCTCATATACAATGGCCATACACACAAAATATACCTAGAAATACATTTAGCCAAGGAGGCAAATGAACTCTACAGGGAGCACGATAAACACACTGATGAAAGAAATTGTAGATGACACAAACAAATGGAAAGACATCCCATGCTCATGGACAGGAAGAATCAATATCATTAAAGTGATCTACAGATTCAACACAATTCCTATCAGATTAACAATGTCATTTTTTACAGAATTAGAAAAAACAATTCTAAAATTCATGTTTTAGAATATGAATAAGAAAGAGCCCCAATAACCAAAGCAATCTAAGCAAAAAGAACAAAGCCAGTGGTATAACATTACCTGACTTCAAACTATACTACAAGGCTACACTAACCCAAACAGCATGGTACTGGTACAAAAATAGACACATATATCATTGGAACAGAATAGAAAGCCCAGAAATAAAGCCATACATCTACAGCTAGCTGATCTTTGACAAAGTCAACAAGAATAAACAACGAGGAAAGGGTTATTGAATAAACCTATTCAATAAATGGTGCTAGGATAACTGGTTAGCCATAGGCAGAAGAATAAAACTGGACCCCTATTCTTCACCATATGCAAAAATTAACTCAAGATGGATGAAAGACTTAAATGTGAGACCTGAAACTATAAAAATTCTAGAAGAAAACATAGGATAAAACTCTCCTGTACATTAGCTTAGGTGAGGTGGGTGGATCACCTGAGGAAAGGAGTTTGAGACCAGCCTGGCCAACATGGTGAAACCCCATCTCTGCTAAAAATACAAAAAAATTAGCCAGGCATGGTGGCAGGTGCCTGTAATCCCAGCTACGTGGGAGGCTGAGGCAGGAGAATTGCTTGTACCCAGGAGGCGGAAGTTGCAGTGAGCCGAGATCTTGCCATTGCACTCCAGCCTGGGCAACAAGAGTGAAACTCCATCTCAAAAAAAAAAAAGAAAGAAAGAAAGAAAGAAAGAAGTTATGACTAAGACCTCAAAGCAAATGCAGCAAAAACAAGAATAGACAAATGGGACTGAATTGAACTAAAGATCTTCTGCACATTAAAAGAAGCAATCAACGGAGTATACAGACAACCTACAGAGTGGGAGAAAATATTACAAACTATGCATCTGACAAAAGATTAATATCTAGAATCTATAAGGAACTTAAATCAACAAGAAAAAAACTAACAACCCCATTAAAAAGTGGGCAAAGAACTTCTCAAAAGACATACAAACATCAAGCAAACATATAAAAAAATTCTCAACATCACTAATTATTAGAGAAATGCAAATTAAAACCACAGTGAGATACAATCTCATACCAGTCAGAATGACTATTATTAAAAAGTCAAAAAAAAAATAACAGATGTTGGCAAGGATATGGAGAAAAGGGAATGCTTATACACTGTTGGTAGGGATGTCAGTTAGCTCAACCCCTATGGAAAACAGTATGAAGATTTCTCAAATACCTTGATAGAAAAATAGAACTTCATTTTGACCCAGCAATTGCACTACTGGGTATCTACCCAAATGAAAAGGAATAGTTTATCAGAAAAATACCTGCACTTGTATGTTGATCACAGCAATATTCACAATAGCAAAGTCATGGAATCAACCTAAGTGTCCATCAGTGGTTGATTGGATAAATAAAATTTGGCATATAGACAACATAAAATACTATGCAGCCATAAAAAAGAATGAAATCATGTCTTTTGTAGCTACATGGATGAAGCTGAAGGCCATTATCTTCAGCGAAATAACTCATAAACAGAAAATCAAATACTGCATGTTCTCACTTATAAACAATGGGTACATATGGACATAAAACTGGAAAGAATAGACACTGGGAACTCCAAAAGGAGAGAGGTTGGGATGGGGATAAGGGATAAAATTTATCCATTGGGTTCAATGTTCACCGTTTGGGTAATAGGTTCACTAGAAGTCCAAACCTCACCATTACACAATATACCCATGTAATGAATCTGCACATGCACCCCCTGAATCTAAAATAAAATAAAATAACAAAAAAAGAAAAAACAATCTAGTCAGGTGACTGACATTCCAAAAGGAGTTAGCACATGACTCATTTTAAATAGTGAGTTCCCTCTCTCTGGGCCTCACTCTTCTCATATGTAAAATGGGACAATTGAACTAGACATTGAGACTTTCTTCCAGCTCTGACATTCTAGGATTCAGTGGTTCTGTATAATAGATGCCTAGATTTATAAAGCACTTTATACTCAATCAAGTTTGAATAATCTATTATGGAAAGTATGATCATTTCACATTACCATTGAACTTACTTGAAAATCTCATATTGTTTTGAGTTTTCATTACTTCCATACAAAGCAATCCTGATGTACCCATTCACTTTCTCTTTTCCAGAAAGTGTGACTGATACCTTATATCTCCAACCTGTCCAAAGAAATACAACCCATTTAATGAACTCATCTTATTGAAAAAATGATCTATGAAAATATTATTGTTCCAAGCTCTGAATCCTCCAGGGGTGAGAGGCAATAGGACTGTGACTTAATTGAATTCCTGGGGCCCAGGAATTAAGGGTACATTAGGTTCTAGGTGGGAGCAAGGGACTCAGGGGTCAGTAAATATTATAGTTCAGCACAGTCCCTTATGAACACAGCAAGGTATGTGCTCTTGGATGAATGAAGGGCAGCTGATACTGCACATGTGTATTTTGACTGATACATGGTACAATGGACTGAATTCATGTGGGTAAGAGCCCACATGAATGGGATCAGTAACCTCATAAAAGAGACCACAGAGAGTGCTCTTTTCCTCTTTCCACCACGTGGGAGTATACAGCAAGAAGACAGCAATGTGCAGCAGAACCTGATCATGCTGGCACCCTGGTCTCAGATTTCCATCCTCCAGAACTGTGAGAAATACATTTCTACTATTTATAAGCCACCCAGTCTATGGTACTACATTACAGCAGTCTGAACCAATGAAGACAATGGGTGTGTTGCATGTTGTTTTGTCACTTGCCTTCTTACTTAATACACCTTAGAGGTTTTCTCTCTTCAGTACGCAGAGGTATAACCTTCTTTTTAATGGTTACATGTAGTATTTAATCTATAGTATTTAGTCATTTACAACTGGTGGACATTTAGGTTTTCCCCTCAATCTTTCGCTCTTAAAAATAAAGAGCGAGCATCCTTGATCACATCATCTTATGCACACACGCAAGTATTTCTCTATGGTACACTCTGAGAAGTGAAGTTACTGGGTTAAAGGAATGTGCATATAAGATTTTATAGATTCTGCCAAACTCTTATCTTTTATGATAAATATTTTGAGGATTACAGGAAATACTGTATGTGAAAAGTGTTTTGTAAAGTGCTGATATAAATTTTTAAATTTGAAACTCTCTTAGAAAATAACTGCTCTCCTTTCCAGCCATTATGTGCTATTATTCACAGTAAATGAGTCTTGATAATTTTACTATCTTGTACTTTTAAAATAAGAAGCAGGGCGAAATGACATCACCACAAAGTGTGTGTATGTAGGAGGACTAATATAATAGATAGTCATTACTGCACTGACTTCTTGACTTACAGTGACTTTCACGTTGCCCTCTTCTGTTAATAGATGCATCCTTCCAGCAACAGGGGTGGGTGAACATGTGACCCAGCCTGGGCCAATCATTGTACTTTTCTCTGCTGGTCAGGAGTATTGGTTAAAGGGGTGAGACCCAACACAAATTCCATTTCACTGTCCTTTCATTACAACTTAAGCTTGTTGTAGTTAAGTTTCTATCCATTGTTACCAAGGATACTGACTAATAAGGTTGGCACACTTTTGAAAATTATTCGCAAGAATTTGAAGTGAGTAAAATGGAAACTTACTAGTAAAGTTACCACTCTCTCCTGTGTTCAGGAAAAAGGTTTGTTCCACAGCACTTGTTTTCCCCTTAAATTGGTCAGCATAGTGCCCCATTTTGGGGCATCCTTCAGCTGGACAAGGGAAACACTTACTCTAGTGGAAAAAAAAAACCATAATTTGTCTGTTAGTCAATCAATTCAGCTTCCTTCCTATGTCTATCTACCTATCTACCCATCACCCACCCAACCATCCACCTTTCATTTACCTATGCAACCATCCATCTACTCATCCATCCCTTATCCATCCTTTCATCTACCCATCCATCCATTCTCATACCTATCCACTAATCCATCCATTCCTGCATCTATCTACCCATGCACCCATGCATCCATGTGTCCATCCATTCTCTCATCTACCCACTGACTCATGCACTCCTGCATCTATCTACCCATGCACCCATGCATCCATGCTTCCACCCTTGGAATTGTGCATAGAACTGTGCTAGGCCCTGCAGAGTATCCAAATAAGTGCCTCAAAAACTTGGAATATAGTTGGGAAAACAAGTCATATCCAGGAAGCAGTAAAATTAAAATATGAATGGGGTATGAAATATAATATATGTAGGGAGAAGTGGGAGAGATGGCAAGTTATTTCAAAAGAAGTGAGGAAGGGAAGGTCCAGGACCATTTTCACTTTAATGTGAATTATTTCTCCAGACTTGTTGATTCTTATTTGTTGCTTCTCAAATGATAGTTCTTTAATTAGGCGCAGAGGAGGCAACTTGCTGTCTTTGAATCAGGGATTTGATTGCTTTATGCCACAGTGTCATTGTCCTCTGCTTTTTGACCTCATGCCACATCCAAAATGCATGATGTGTAGAGCTGTTTTGTGATTTGGTAGGAATCAGACAAATACTGGAGGCCATGTTGTTATCCATGACCCAACAAGAACTAGCACAGTGAAGCCTTCTCACTGAACACTCACAGACCTTGGAGATCAAATACGATGTCCTTTTGACCTCAGTTCAACCCAAGAATGTCAAGGTTAAAATTAGTTTTGAAAGGACAAAATGTGAGTTTAAACATCTTAACCAAGTAATTAAAGTTTAAGTCATCAAATAATGAATGAATTTATGTCATCAAATAATAAGTGAACATTAAATGAATCTCTTTAGTTGTAATACACTGAGAAGGACCTGCTATTACTCACTGAAGCACCGCCTAAAAAATCAAACAATTTCAGAGAGTGAGATATCCTGCCAAATACCTGGTCTGAAAGCCTCATAACTGGCAAGTCTTCAAAGACCAAGAAAAAATGGGAAGCTGTTCTTGACTAAAGGTGACTAAAGAGACAACAAAATAATTGCAATGCGAAAAAAAAAAAAAAAAAAAAGAAGAAGAAGGGAAGGAAAGAAAGAAGGCAGGCAAACAGATACAGCTCTAGAGGGCATTATTTGGATAACTGGAGAAGCTTGAATATGTACTATATATTAGAAAATATTAGTGTATCAAAGATACATTTCTTGAATGTTATTCTATAGGAGAAGGATCTTGTTTTTAAGAGATGGAGGCTAAAGTTTTTATAAGTAACATGTCATAATGTCTTTAATTTACTTTCACATAATTTAGAAAAAGTATACATACACACACATATATAAAATATTAGCAACTGGTGCATCTAAGTGACAGGTGTACAGTATTCATCATTATTCTTCTTTCACCTTCTTTGCAAATTGGAAATTTTTCTAAATGAACAACTGGGGACCCTAGTAAGGGCCCAGCACAGTCAGGTCTGTGCCTTCCCCCTCCAGCCCACCCTGCTGCCTGGGGGAAGATGGCTTTGTGAGGTGCAGAATTTCCATTACCTCCCTGCATTAGTTGCAGAGTTACATCTCTTTCTTCTGTTCTAAGCCACAGGAACACAAAAACACCCCAAACAGGGCCAGCAACATCTTCCTCAGCCTCCTGGGGTAACCTACCTCCTGAAACTCATCGTAGGAGGCACAGGGATAGCCCAGGAAGCCATCAGGGTTGAGGACGCTGCTTGAGTAATACTCGAAGCTTCTTAGGTGATTGCAAGACACAAAGCCACCAATTCCTGAAAAAAACAAAGGTCCCGGGAGCTCAAAGGAGGCCTTTCACTTTTAAGTGTGAACAACTCATTCTGACTAAGGAAGAATCACCTGCACATTTCACCGATGGGTGTCGGCTCCTGAATATCTTGGGGCATTTGCTGAGCAGGGACCTACTCAGGGCTAGGTGACTGTGGAGGAGTGACATGTCCTGACAAGCACCTTTGTCCACTCTTCCAGGGGCCAGGCATGTAACACAAATGAATGAGGAGGGCTGGGGGCTGGGAATAGGGTGGGGTGGTGAGGGAGAGAGAGAGAGAGAGAAAGTGATAGAGAGAGGCAGACAGAGGCAGTTGGTCGGGGGAGAGAGAGAGAGTCAGAGAGAGACGAGAGAGTCGGTGGGGGAGAGAGAGACAGAGAGTTGGTAAGGGAAGAGAGAGAGACAGAGACAGAGAGTCAGAGAGAGATAGAGAGAGTTGAGGGGGAGAGAAAGAGAGAGCATCAGAGAGAGACAGAGAGTTGGTGGGGGGAGAGAGAGAGACAGAGAGTCAGAGAGGGACAGAGAGCCGGTGGAGGGGGAGACAGAGAGACAGAGACAGAGAGAGAAATGGAGAGAGAAAAAGAAACACAAAAAGAGATAGTGATGAGAAAGAGAGAGATTCAGAAAGACAGAGAGAGAGGATAGATAGACAGAGGAGAGATGCAGAGACAGAGGAGAGAGACATAGAGAGGGTATACGTGTGTGTGTATATATATAGTATATATACACACATACGCTATGATATATACAAGTGTGTGTATGTATATATATACACACACATATATATGTATATATGTATATATATACACACACATATATGTATATATGTATATATATACATACTATATATGTATATATGTATATACACATACTATATATGTGTATATACGTATATACACATACTATATATGTGTATATACGTATATACACATACATATATGTGTATATACGTATATATACACATACTATATATGTGTATATATGTATATATACACATACTATATATGTGTATATATGTATATATACACATACTATATATGTGTATATATGTATATATACACATACTATATATGTGTATATATGTATATATACACATACTATATATGTATATATGTATATATATGTGTGTATATATGTATATATACACATACATATATGTATATATGTATATATATGTATATATACACATACATACAGAGAGAGAGAGAGAGACTAAGAGAAGATAGCAATAGCTGTAAAAAGGGCCCCTCTAACCCTACACAGTCTAGCCAGGTGTCACATGTTCAAAGCCCCAAATCGCCTGGTCCTCTGATTTTTTCATAAGAAGCCAGGATCTCCACTTCTACCTGAAAACCTTCGCATGCGTGAGTGAAGGCAGCGCATCCCCATCTTAAAAACAGTTACCATGCCGGCCCATCCAATGCTGCTGCAGACCGCATCCTATCCCTGTGAGGATCCCTGTGAGGACATACCGGGCAGGCCTTCCCCATCAACCAGGCTTTTTGATTCTTCCTCTTTGCTATGCAGGGCACAAGGTAAAAGCGGTGATGGCAAGGTGGCCATGGCCTCTGGCCACTCTCTTACTGCATTTTATTTATCATCCTTTTCTTTAGAAAAAGTCCGGAAAGGTGTTTTTTCATTTCTCTGGCTACTTGGTAGAAAACTTCCCATGGAGAAATGCACAGTGACCCTGGCACACCTGCGGACCACTCCTGGGGGGTCTGCGGGGCTTTATTGCCACCCACTGAGAAAGGAACACTTCCCTTTGTGCCCAGGGTGGCTTCGTACTCCACGGCTCCCGGCCCTCGGCCCAGCGACTTCTAGCTGAAGCCACGTTCCCTGTGCCCACACTGGTGCTCATCACTGGACAACAGAACCTGTTTCAAACTTAATTGTTTCTTTCATCCAAAATTGCTGCCCTGGGACCCCATAATGGAGGAGAAAGTGGATTTAATTATTCCTCAGTGCCCACTGCCTGGATGACTCGGAGCTTGACACAATAGAAACACACTCCAGTGCTCATGGGCTTGTTCACTCGACATTGCTTCTCTAATTAAACCTGGACTCGTTCCTATTATGTGTGCCTTGCTCATCGTTTGTGGGAGGGGGCAGCTATTATTGTGACTCTGGTGTGCTTTCAGGGAGCCTGGAATGGTCACATCTCCCCAGGAGTTACCTGAGAGGGCAAAAGCTCCGTTTATTTGCCGGTGGATGCTGGCGATCGCTTTATCGACTCTGCTCTTTGACATTAAGCACATGGAATATTAAAATGCCACACAAGGCTACTCAACTCAATTTAAAAGTATATTTCGTGCCTGCTTTGGATGAGGCCCTGAGCAGGGTACTGGAGTGTCTGAAATGTGCAAAACATAGTCCTTGGCCTTGGGGAACTCCCAGCTCAGAAAAATAGACTAAAATTATCACAGGCCCAAAACCTCTCTTTTCAGGGAGGAGAGTGAAGCCTGGTGTCAGGGGAGGGGCAACAGGAATCAAAAAAGGCCAGAGCAAGGGGCAGCAAATCAGATGGGGCTATGAGGTCGCCTAATGGCAGGGCATGGGCCGTGCTCTCTCAGATGAACAGAAATGTACACAGCTGGCCAGCAGCCACCATGGGTCTCCCAGACCTCCAGGCCTCCCCCTCCTACACGTGTACCCCAAACCCACAGAGCACATCCCTCCTTTGTCTTCTTCTCAGCAAAGTCCCCTTCCATTTCTAGCACCCAACAACAGCAACCAGCAAGCAAGTCAAGGCCTTCAAATCTTGGCCTATGTCCTGCAGTTCTTCAAGGAGCAGGTGCTGCAGGTAGGATAGGTGGTCAAAGCCAGAGCCAACATGCCAGCCAAGCCGCTGTCCCAGGATGCCGACAACAGGGAGATACACAGGCTGGGGCATGAGCTCAGGGCTTTATAGTTAGAAATTGGGCTTAGATATAGAGCGGCCTTGAATGAGCTATGTAACTTTTTTTATATATATATTTCGAGACAGTCTCACTCCGTCACCCAGGCTGGTGCAGTGGTGCTATCTCGGCTCACCGCAACCTCCACCTCCTGGGTTCAAGTGACTCTCATATCTTAGCCTCCTGAGTAGCTAGGACTACAGGCGCATGCCATCACATTCAACTAATTTTTGTGTTTTTAGTAGAGATGGGGTTTCACTATGTTGGCCAGGCTGTCCTTGAACTCCTGACCTCAAGTGATCTGCCTACCTCAGCCTCCCAAAGTGCTGGGATTATAGGCATGAGCCACCACGCCCAATTGAGTTATGTAATTTTTCGGATCCTCAGTTTTTGGATCTGCAAACTGGAACTAATCAGAGTAACTATCTCATTGCATTGCTGTGAAAATGCCTGGCACATTTTCACAACACTCCATAAACGGTGGCAAATGTCAGCATTATGAAGGCCAGACCATGCATTCTGCTTTCTCCCCGAACAGAGCAATTGCTGTCTTACTTCTTTAATTTACATACCTTCCCATATTCCATCAATATCAGTAATGGTTGAAAGGACATTTTTCTTACATCCGGGCATTTCCTTTCCTCCATTTGGAAAGAAATCCAGATGGCCCACCTTTTGGCTCATTCCGAAACCTAAAATATTTGAAGCAGAGATGAGCGGCGAGGTGACTGGTGCCAAAGTTAGGGTGTGGCCACAGCAAGACCCTTTTTGGCAAATTCTCCCTTTATCACAGCTACCACTGCCTCTAGCTCTGCAGAAAGTTCTCAAAGATGGGTGCTTGGCAAGATGAGGACGGAGGAGAGGGCAGAGGAAGTGAGATGAGGGGGAGGCTGAGCTTTGGGTGAGTGAGACACATACATTTGGATGTGCATCTGTGTGTCTCGGAGAGTCTTGGACCATATTGATATGCCCTGCTACCATTATGCACCAGTAGACCTATCAAGACTGGTGCAATTTGTATTACTTTACTCATTTTAAAATTTTGATGTCTACATTATATTGTTATGTGGAGACTACATAACATTATATTGTTATATTGTGAGCCGTAGCATATGGCTAGGCTCTTTGGCTTTCAAAGCATATGAACCCGTGATCAAATCCTGGTTTTACTTACAGATTTTGTGATCTGGGTCAATTACTTAACCTAATTGAGCCTCAGTTCCTCAGCCATGAAATGGTGGTAATAAAGCCCACTTTTTAGAGTGTTACAGAATTGACAAGCTAATGTATGCAAAATGTTCAGTGTAGCACATGGTAAACACTAAGTAAGTGATAACATCATCATCATCATCATCAAAAACATACCCTTTATTGGCAAGTTTCATGAGTGGCTATATAAGAAAATATTGAAAAAAAAACACTGATTTTAGAAGAATTAAAGAATGGGATAAAGTTGCCAACAAAACAAAGTGTAACCAAAGCTTTGACTGAAGAAGTAAGAAAAATATTCAAAAATTAACTTCGTATTTTGCAAGTACAGGTCAAGTTTTAAGAATGAATACATCTGCCCCACTAGTTACTGGTAGATTGGGGAAGGATGCAGAGTTTGAAGATTGATTGACAACCTTTCATAGACTACAGAAGGGTTTTTGTTTAACCCAGGGCTGCACGCTGATTCCACTGGCATTGAACTAGCTATTTATTTGGGACTGGTACCCATTTTGACTGGTTGGTGCCCAAGCCATTCCTGTAGCTATTTCAAATGGCCTCCCCTGCTGTGTGTGTATGTATGTGTGAGAGGGGATATCTGGACCCAATGTCATTAGCTGTAGCACAGGTCAGCAGGAGATGGGATTGAGGAACTCACCTAGGGAAGGAACTATGGGAGAAGAATCTGTGTGAATCACATCCACAAACACGGCGTCAGATGGATCCAACCGAACCTCCTCAGGTTCATCCTGGAAGCACGGCCCTGCTGGATCCAGCCCTGAAAGGGAGAAGGTAGGCAGGCTGGACTCTTAAGAACTGGGATTTAAAGCCAGTACTGGCAGACTAAGCATGAGGATTCCTCCTACCCCAGCAGCTATGGTTCTGGGGATTGGGTCTGCAGTTCTTGGTCTGCCTGGGAGAGAGAGTCTGGGACAGAAAGGCTGGGAATGGGGTCATTGCCTGTGGATGAACATTCAGAAATACCCAGTGCCTGGCTCCGTGGAGGATCTGGGTAGCCTCCGTACACCCCTTCTTTCCCTTTTTCTTTTTGTCCTCACACATTACCATTTGGCCACTGCTCTCAGAGACTGCAAGACCCCAGGCCTTACCCAGCTGCTAGCATCTACTCCTTTGTTTGGCTCACGCCATTCTCCAGCCTGCTGTGCTCTTTCCCACATTCTTCCTTTATCTAAATCTTTCTCCTCCAAACCCAGCTCACACACCACCTCCTCATGGTTAAATGGAAAATCTAACCCCTCTCCTTTCTCAGCCCATTCCATCCACTTTGTATTATGCTGTCCCCAGGTCATCTTCAGAGAGAAACAGAGCGTGGGAGGAGGGGGCACACAGTGGCCTGTATTCTTGCCCTAGTTCTACTCCAGGTCAAATGTCTGCCCTCTCTGAGCTTCTGTATCCTTATCGGGAAAGCAGGAATAATGACAACCCCTACCTTACAGAGTCGTTGTGAAACCCTCATGAAGAGATGTAAGAGAAGGGACTTTGCAAACTGCAAAATTCTACATAAACACAAACCAATACCCCCTCATCCTTCACCCAGTGCCTTGGGCAAAGGGACGCTCATTAAATGTTGATGTGAACTGTTTGGTGAAGTTACAAACTGATTTGGCTGCACAAAATTAAGTTATTTGTGTCTTTGCCTTATATGCATTCAGTTTAGTGCTTCATTCATTCATTCAGTATTTACTGAGCGCCTTCTATATGGCAGGTCTCAGTGTGCATTTGCATTTTCTGTCTTTGCCTGGCGCAGTAGAGACATTCAAACAATTACGTGGAACTGACGAATTTTTAAAACCATCTCACATTTTTTCTTTTACTTTGCCATACTCTGAAAATAATAGCTCTTAAGTCATGGATTTAATGTGCTAGTTAAATCTTTCTCCTTTTCTTTTCTTTCTTTCTTTTTTTTTTTTTTTTTTTTTTTTTTTGTTTTTTGAGGTGGAGTCTCGCTCTGTCGCCCAGGCTGGAGTGCAGTGGCACGGTCTCCGCTCACTGCAAGCTCCGCCTTCCGGGTTCATGCCATTCTCCTGCCTCAGCCTCTCGAGTAGCTGGGACTACAGGTGCCCCCCACCACACCCGGCTAATTTTTTGTATTTTTAGTAGAGACAGGGTTTCACCTTGTTAGCCAGGATGGTCTGGATCTCCTGACCTCGTGATCCACCCACCTCGGCCTCCCAAAGTGCTGGGATTACAGGCGTGAGCCACTGCGCCCGGCCTCACTTTTCTCCTTCCCTCCCCTCCCTCCCTCTCTCTCTCTCTCTCTCTTTCTTTCTTTCTTTCCTTGCCTCCTTTCCTTCTTTTCTTTCCTCCTTTCTCTTTTTTTTTTTTTGAGATACAGTCTCCCTTTATTACCCAGGGTGGAGTGCAGTGGAGCTATCACAGCTCCCTGCAGCCTGGAACACCTAGGCTCAAGCAGTCCTCCCACCTGGGCCTTTCGAGTAGCTGGGACTACAGGCAGAGCCATCACCCCTGGCCAACTTTAAAAATTTTTTATAGAGACAAGGTTTCACCATGTTGCCAAACTGGTCTTGAACTCCTGGCCTCAAGCGATTCTCTCGCCTCAGCCTACAAAAGTGCTGGGATTACAGGTGTGAGCCAGTGGCCCAGCCTTTGTTTTAAAAAATGAATGCATTTTTATTTTTAATTATCTATTTTCTAATACACATTATGGAAAATTATTTTTAAATTTAAGGCCGGTCATCACAAAAAATCGGGTCCCCAGGAGGACCATCAGGGGCGCCCT
Source organism: Homo sapiens (assembly GCF_000001405.40). Lineage (NCBI taxonomy): Eukaryota > Metazoa > Chordata > Mammalia > Primates > Hominidae > Homo > Homo sapiens. The sequence continues at coordinate 38,955 of NW_025791790.1, read as the reverse complement.
TCGCCGTCGGAAAGGCGCTGGCCGAGGCTTCCGAGGTGCGCACCCGGGGGCCTGGGACTCCGGCCCGGGGCCCCGCGACCCCTACCTGTGATCCTGCCCACGCGGCCCCCCAGCCTCCTGCCCGCCTCCGCGGCCGTGTGCGCGCCCAGGCTGTGGCCGATGACATGCACGTCCTCAAGGCTGTACCCTAGCTGCGTCTGCGGAGGGATAGCGTGTCAGGTCCCACAGCACCGCGTGGGGACCCGCTGGTCTGAGAGCGGGGCGCCGGGCCCTGCCAGGGATGGGGGCAGGACCCGGGCTCGAGCACGCCGCCTGGGGCAGGGCGACCCCGCTTCCTATTTGCAGCCTGCGAGTCCCGCAGGCCGGCTCGTGCGCGGGGCAACAGTGCTGACCAGCGGCCACCACGCCAACTGCAGGCCACCTGGGCGGGCGTGGCACACGGCCTGCCGCCCGGGACTGCCCCACCCCCAGCTCCCTTTCCTCGTCCCTGCCAGGGGTATGGCCTGTCTGGGCAAGCACGGGTAGAGTGGGCCCTATCTCTGGCTCCCCCCGCCCCCTCCCGATAGATCCTGCAGAAAGGTCCAGGGCCTTCCCTCGTGGGCTGGCGAAGGATGAAAACTCATCTTCTGCACTGGGAGCTGCGGGGCAGCCCAGCCTGCTCTCTGACCCTTGCAGAACAGCCTGCAAGGAAGGTCTATTTCAAAAGGGGAAACCAAGGCTTAGTTTGCCTCAGGCCCCACAGCTAGACAGTGATAGGGCAAGGTGTCTTCAGGACAGCAGGCAAAGAGGAAGGTTGCAGAGCTTCATCTTGGGAATTGCCCTTCTTGATTGCAATCTGGGCTACTAGCTGCCGGCCCCTACCCATGCCCACGGGTCCCCAGGCTGCCTCTCCATGCCACGTGGTACCTCCCTGCCCCTCTCTGACCCCTACCCACAGGACAGGGCCCAGGCAGGGTTTTACCGACAGTGCTTGTATTAAGAAAGCTGTCTCCGCCCCAACAACCCGAATGTTTTGCACGGCTTGGGTGTACATTGCCCGGGACCCGTGCCTCCAGTCCACACAGATGCAGTTCACCTTCTCCACTTCAAACATTTTCTGGGGAAGACAAACAAGGGAGAGAAATCAATTTATAAACAGCCCCCAGGTGCACACCCCAGAGATAGGCATTCACGTCTGTCAAACACCTAGCCCATGCCAGAGCTTTGATGTTCTTATACCTGCCATAACGTCACCCTCACTGCAGTGCTATGGACTGGACATGCTAGTACCCGCTTAACAGATATGGAAACTGAACCCTGGAATGGGTGAGTGACGTGTCTGAGGTCTCACACATCGTTAGGAACACAACCAGGTTAAAAAGACCACTTACTAAATCAGGTGTGAGCAGACTACTACTACTCAATAACATGTCAAATTCAGCTCCTCGTTTGCACCAGCCACATTTCAAGTGCTGAATAACTTATGTGGCCAGTGGCTTCTGATTTGGACAGTGCATATATAGAACACCTTCATCACTGCAGAACATTCTATTGGATAGCGGTGCTTTAGAGGGTAAAATTTAAGTGTTTTTAACATCACAAAGGGGTTTTACATAAGTCCTCAGGGATAAATGCCCAGCAGTTTGCTGCAGTCTCCACCTCGAGACTTTTTGACTGAACTCTGGGTGTCTTCAGCCTCATAGGAGATTGTTGGCTAGAAATTGGTAGGTAGAGAGAGCTTGGTAATGGATGCCCTTTGGAACTGGGCTTTCCTCGGTGGTTTTAAAAAGGACCCATCTCTCTCTGAAGTATTTCTTTTCCCAGTCTAAGGGAAACTGGGGGTACAGTGTTTGAATCTGTGTGTTGGGTGCTGGTCTCACCAGGGAGTGGCCAAGTGGTAGGGCCCTACCTTGCACATGTCCGATGGCCAGCTGTCCTCCGCCTTGTCTAAGAAGCCATGGATGATGAAGCGTGTCTTGCGGTCCAGTTGGAAGTTTGAAGCCTCAATGGTGTCTGGTTCCGTGCCAGTGATTAGCTGGTTTAATTTAAAAAGATTAATTTGAATGTTGCCCTTTCCAAGCCACGAGTCTATTAGAGCCAGTTTCAGAATTGATATCACAGCTTCAATGCCCACAAAGCTGGGTCAGACTAGAAGGAGCTCCTGACCTGGGGTTGTGGATAGATTTCAGAAAGTCCAAATTCACAGACTTTCTATTTTAGTTAATCCTTAATCCATATCTAGCATTTCAGTTAATCACAAAACTAGACAATAAACCACAGTGGTATTAGCAACACCTGTGACTCTGTCCCCGGTAGAAGTCACAGGTATTTTCAGGTCATAATGTAATTATTGCAGATATCTAAAAATATCATTTATACTCATTAATATTTTAAATTATAGTAGTTATTAGACCAACCCCTAGATCTTGTTATTTAATGATATATAAAAAGCACATATATGACTATATCACATATTTATATATTTAAATGTTTTGGTAATTATTTTTCAATATAATTCGTTTCTTTTGTAATCCAATATATTTTATTTCTGCATTTAAAAACATTGACCTGGCCGGGCACGGTGGCTCACGCCTGTAATACCAGCACTTTGGGAGGCTGAGGCAGGCGGATCACAAGGTCAGGAGATCGAAACCATCCTGGCTAACACGGTGAAACCCCGTCTCTACTAAAATTAGCTGGGTGTGGTGGTAGACACCTGTAGTCCCAGCTACTCAGGAGGCTGAGGCGGGAGAATGGCATGAACCCAGAAGGCAGAGCTTGCAGTGAGCCGAGATCGCGCCACTGCACTCCAGCCTGGGTGACAGAGCAAGACTCTGTCTCAAAAAAAACAAACAAACCAACAAAAAACAACAACAACAAAAAATTGACCTAAGAAGGGGCCTTTAGGCTTCTTCCAGGTGGCCAGAGAGGTTCCTGGCACAGAAAAGGTGAGGAACCCCTGGACCAGAAGCTTAAGTGTGGGAGCAAATTCAGTTCAGTGGAGCTGTGAGACTTTGGAATGCACTTCTAAATTGCCACAGGCTGCTCGACCCCCTTCTACCAACCCCTACAGATGAGACGCCAGAAGATGCCACCAACCTCTACAGATGAGATGCCAGAAGATGCCACCAACCCCTACAGATGAGACGCACCGTAACCATGTCCAAGCCGACTCTGGGCTGGGGGCACTAAGAAGGCTGGTCTGTCAGATAGAGTCCCACAGTGGGTGACCTCAGAAACCTATTGACAGCACCTGGCTCCCTAAACTCTGTCAGGGACCAGAGCTGTGAGCTGCTGGATTCTCAGCAATGTCTTTCTTGAAACTGTCTCCTGGTCACTTCTGACACTCTGGAGCAAGTCTGATCTGCTTCTGATGGGCAGACCTGCTGAAAACTGGAGGTTGCTCCAGAGGACCTCATCTTTTATCTATTGTGGCTACATGTCCCCTCTCCCCTACCTGTCTCCTAGCTCTTCAGGAAGAATTTACACCCACCCCCACCCCCAATGCCCAAGAGGCTTCTCCCCCTCCACTCTCCTGTGTAGAAACGAGGCAGACTTTCCGGTGGCTACACCAGGCCTGGGCTTCTCCATAAATGCTGCTCATAGTCCCTTCCTCCCAGGGAACAAGGCATTTACGCTGGGGTAGCCCCTGAAGTTCTCTGCACCAGTGTGTGTGAATGTGTAAGTTTCTGGGTTAGGCATCAGTAGATTTCATCAGATACTCAGGTGTTTATGATCCTGAGAGCTACGCCTTGGATTCTATGCCTTGGAGTTTCTGGAAAATTCCAGGGCAGTGACTTATGCCCTAGACAGCCATGCAAAGACTCCACTGTGGCGGCCCAAATACACCCACCATGCAGCGCTTACATGCCTGCTCTTACTTGGAAGTTGTTTGGATTTTCATTTGTGTACAGAAGAAAGCGGGTGTCAATGTCCTCGGGGGACCAGGGAAGTAATTTTACAGGTCGCTGAAGGGTTCCTGCCCATGGTTTTTCATCAGAAAAGCAGCCAAGTTGTCCGTAGCAGACCTCTTTTCCTAGGGTGAGCCACAAACAGGACATGTGTGAACTTCTGGAAAGAAGCAACGTCATATCCATACAGGAAAACTCTGCAGGACAGAGCCCAGGTTTGGCTAAGGCCAGTGCTGGTCTTTATCTTTGCCATCATTTTCCAAACCTCTGGGATGATAAGAATCACCTGGGGGCTGCGGCGTCGCGGGGTGGGAAGGGCGGGTGGGGGCAGGCGGCAGTATGGGGAACAGGTGTATTGTACATACACATTCATAGGTCCCTCCCTCAGAGATTCTGGTTCAGAGGGTCTGGGGTGGGGTCCTAGAAACACATATTCAGTAAGTGCCCCTTACCATTAGGCAAATTGGGGAATTGCTGATGCATAGGTTGGTGCAAAATAATTGCGGTTTTTGCCATTACTTTCAATGGTAAAAACCACAGTTACTTTTGCACCAACCTAATACAAACTGCTGCCTTAAAACCACCTCTTTCAGGAAACTTGCAGCTGACTCTTTACATGTAAGCATCAAATAGTGAGTATTTATCGAGTGCCTACAAACTCTGTAGCACAGAGTTGCTACTTTGTCTTGACATCTCTATTACACACAGCATAGGCCGTGCCCACACCAATTCACATGTCTTCATGTCATCCTTTTATGCACATTTTTTTGAAAGGGTGATTCTCTGCCGTTTCATATTTTCTCTTTTGCTCTTTGAAAAAGTAAGTTTCTTAAGAACAGGAATGACTTGTGTATCACACTACGTGTAGTAGAGACTCAATACATGTAATCCATGATCCAAGTAACCACATCTAAGTCTGAGAGTACTTTCTGTGTCCATGACATAAACATGATCACAGGATATGGTCACTACGGGTGACATAATTCCAACCCAAAGGATTATAATGGGTCCTTTCTCTTATGCTTCCTCAACTCCTGTACTGATGATGCCAAATATTGGTGAATCATTAAAAAAATGCATAATAGTTTATATTTGTTTACTATGTGCCAGATACCATGTTAGTACTTTACTGGTATAGTATCATTTAAGCCTGAAAACACAAATATGGAATTAGTATTATCTCCATTTTACTGCTGAGGAAACCAAGGCACAGAGAGACAAGGTAAGCTACCTGAGGTCACAGCTAGTGGTGGAGGCAGGATTTGAACCCAAGAAGTTTAACTGGGAATAAAGCTAGAACTTGAGGGGACACAAAGATAAATGAGATATGAACCCTGTCCTGAAAGGGAGGAGCTCTAATAGGGAAGCAATACTGATGGCGTTGAATTCATTCCAGGAAGAGGGTGCACCCTTGGAGGTGGACTCTAGGAGGCTTAAGCAATGTTTGCCCCAGGGGAAAGGTAGCTGGTTAAATGAAGGGGCTCGAATGCAAGACACCTGGGCTCTCTTAAGTGGAGAGCAGGAAAGTGTTGGAAGGTGTGAGTTGGTGAGGTTGAGGGGAGGTGGTGGTGGCAGTGGCAATGCTGTGCTTCCACAGGCAGTCCTGTGTTTTTGGGACTCGAGTACAGGGGGCTGAAAAGCAGAAAAGCCTGAGAAGGCTGGGGGCAGGGAAGTGAGAGTGAGGCTTGAGGCTTGAGGCTTGGCCCTGATAGGGCTTCTTGCAACTCGGGAAGACCAGGAAGCTGGGCAAGAAGGAAGGCCCTAGGAGGAGAGAGATGAGGAGAGAGCCTGGCGTGAGCCTTGGGGAATGTCCACATTTGGGGCAGGAGGAGGCTGCAGGTCAGCAAAGGAGATGAAGAGGGGTTGTATGGCCGGAGGAGCAGTCGCACCCACCCCGGTCTCTGCCGTCAGGAGCCTGGCCTTAATTCATGGCCAGGATGGAAGGAGAGGCCAAGAGTGGGCTGGCGGGGTTGAGAAGACAAGGGGGAAGAGTCACAAGGCAGAAGAAAGCCCCCACAGGGACCCAAGGAGACCATGTCTCCTACAGCAGGACTTGGGGGACCAAATTGGGCAGTGAGGTATTCTGGCAGGAGAGGAGGTGAGGCAGCCCCCACGGAGAGGGAAAGACTCCCGGAGGAAGCACGCCTGTGAAGGCGTAGGCAGATGGGAAGTCAGCAGGCTGGGGCTCAGGGGGCTCCAAAAGAAACGGAGGTGATTTGTGTTTTAGGATAAGTAGAACTTGAATATCTGTATCTCCTCTGGACAGAACCAGGTCGGGGGAACAAACTGGAGAGACAGAAACGGTGACTCTGAGAAGAGGACACGTGGGCTTGATGGCAGAAAGGCAGGCTTGCCTGGCAGGACTGGGCTTTCTTGGGAGAGGGCACATCCACATGACTTTGGTCTGCAGGCAAGGACAAGGGCATTGGGATCAGGTGGGAACACCACACCCTCCACTTGTCTCCCAGCCGTGAGAGTCTTTGCAGGAAGAAGGTGGCCAAGTAGGAGGGTTACGGGAGATACTCTGTGTCCGGCACGTTGCCCTGTGTCTGCCTGAGAGTCAACACTCTCTGAGTGGCACAATTGTTTTCTCCAAGTAACGATAATGCTCTTCATAATCATTATAATAATTATTAATATACCTCTAGCTGCCTCACCAAAGGCCAGCCCAGGCATGTCACTTTCTCCCTAAAGGAATGGTGACAGCATCCTCACCTCTGACTGTGGCCAGCAGGAGAAGGCCGAGGGTCCAAGGGGGCAGCATCTACATGGATGGAAACACAGACACACACAGACCCATGCGCACAGTGAGGCTGGCAGGGGCAGGACCCAGCTGGGTCAGGAGCCCGGGTCACAAGGACAGTGAGTAGAACAGACGCCCCGCAACCCGGGCCCCACAGGGCTCTCCCTTGAGGTGGGGACCCTGAGGCTGAGTCCTCCCAGTGCACAGGGAGTTAGACAGCAGCACACTAGGACCCTGGACTCAGGGGCTCCACTGTGGTGGCTTCCCCGCCTCTGGGCCACGTCCCTCTTGTAGCCTGGGCTGCCCCCGCCCTGCCAAATCCCCTGCTCACATGGGGCCCTGACTTACCATGCTGCACCAGAGCTTCCACTCACAGCCCAGCAGGTTGGCTGTGGCCTTTTATAACCAGGCTTTATCCTTTGGACTCCTTAGAGGAAAGGCCGGGGCAGGATAGATAAGGCACTGCACGTGGGCGCTTTGAACCTAACTTATCGTAAACACATAAAACCAACTCAACCCTGGGAGCAGCAATGTTTATTAAGTAAGATTCAAGGAAAGGAAAACCAACTTTGGGAAGGGAAAGAGCTCTGTTAATCTGAGTTTACAGGTTTAGTTGCCAAGAGATTGTGTTCCCAAAGTGGTAACAGGGAAACATCATGCCGCGCATAGCATCTCTGGAACAAAATCCCTTTGGACACATGATCCCCCAAACCCATCGTGTCGTCCTGTTGCTCTTGACAGATTGTGCGGGCCTAGGAAGTCAGGAGACTTGTTGCTCAGTGGAACTGACTGTTTTTGAAGACAGACACCTTACTTACTTTGGGGGTGGGGTAGGTGGAGGGCTACCTTCCCTATTAGAGAGTCTAGACAGAGGACAAAAATGAACGCAACCTCACAGACGAAGCTCCAAAGAATAAAATGAGGCCAGGCGCGGTGGCTCACGCCTGTAATCCCAGCACTTTGGGAGGCTGAGGCGGGCAGATGATGAGGTCAGGAGATCGAGACCAACCTGGTTAACACGGTGAAACCCCATCTCTACTAAAAATACAAAAAATTAGCCGGGTGTGGTGGTGGGCCCCTGTAGTCCCAGCTTCTTGGGAGGCTGAGGCAGGAGAATGGCGTGAACTGGGGAGGTAGAGTTTGCAGTGAGCTGAGATTGCGTCACTGCACTCCAGCCTAGGTGACAAAGCGAGATTCTGTCTCAAAAAAAAAAAGAATAAAATGAACATGAACACTGTTCAAATACAACTTTGTTTAGAAATAATATAGCTTGTTTTAAAAGTGTTTCTGAGCTGCACAGACTGTACCTTGACCTGGAGATAAGAAGGGGAGGTATTTTCTTTTCTTCACTGCTACAGAAGAACCTAGGTGAATAACCAGGTGCCATCCTGCCATGTTTTAAATGGGTGTGTAATTTAGATACACCAAACTGCATACATCTTAAGTTGAAAATGTAAGTACAGGCCAGGCGCGGTGGCTCACGCCTGTAATCCCAGCACTTTGGGAGGCCTGGGTGCGTGGATCACAAGGTCAGGAGATCGAGACCATCCTGGCTAACATGGTGAAACCCCGTCTCTACTAAAAATGCAAAAAAAAAATTAGCCGGGTGTGGTGGTGGGTACCTATAGTCCCAGCTACTCGGGAGGCTGAGGCAGGAGAATGGCATGAACCTGGGAGGCGGAGCTTGCAGTCAACCGAGATCCCGCCACTGCACTCCAGCCTGGGCAACAGAGCAAGACTCCATCTCAAAAAAAAAAAAAAAAGAAAACCTAAGTATAGTTTTATCTCACGCCTGTGATCCCAGCACTTTGGGAGGCTGAGGCGGGTGGATCACAAGGTCAGGAGATCAAGACCAGCCTGGCTAACACGGTGAAACCCCGTCTCTACTAAAGACACAAAAAAATTAGCCGGGTGCGGTGACAAGCACCTGTATTCCCAGTTACTCAGGAGGCTGAGGCAGGAGAGTGGCGTGAACCCAGGAAGCGGAGCTTGTAGTAAGCTGTGATCGCGCCACTGCACTCCAGCCTGGGTGACAGAGACACTCCATCTCAAAAAAAAAAAAAAAACCATTTCCAGCAGCCAGATCTTTCTACCACCATCACCACCCTTGTAACAATACTCTGATTTCCATCATCATAGGTTCGTTTTGTCTGCTCTAGAATGTCATATAAATGTAATAATACAGTATGTACTCTTTAGCGTCTTGCTTTTCTCCCCCTCAAGACATTTTTGAGATTCGTTCACATTGTTACGTGTATCAGTAATTATTTTTTATTGCTGTATGGTATTGATATAGTTCTGTAAGAATACAGCACAATTTGTTTATCCATTCTGCTGTTGGTGGACATCTGAATTCTCCAGTTTGGGGCTATTATGAACACTACTGCTAAGGACATTCTAGTCTAGTGCAGGTCTTTTGGTAGACATATGCACTCATTTCTCCTGGGTTTATGCCCAGGAGTATTGTGAGGGTCCTGGAGTGTGTTCAGCTTGAGGAGATGCTGCCAGACGGCTTCCCAAAGTGGTCGCACCAGCGTAATTCCCACCAGCAGCTGGATGGGAGCTCTAGCTGCTTCCCATTCCACCCCTGGCCTTTGATCAATCCCAGAAGCACGAGGTTGCCAGCAATTTCCTGAGGGTTTCATGTGTAGAAAAATAGCTTTTTTTTTTTTTTTTTTTGAAACTCTCTTCTGAGAATTCTGAGGCTGGAAGAGTGTGGAGCTGAGGGAAGCCAAGAATGAACTTTCTTATCTCAATGGGCTTAAGAAAAGTCAAGGTTTCTGGCTGGGTGTGGTGGCTCACGCCTGTAATCCCAGCAAGGTGGGCAGATCACATGAGGCCAGGAGTTCGAGACCTGCCTGGCCAACATGGTGAAACCCCGTGTCTACTAAAAATATAAAAATTAGCCGGGCATGGTGGCGCATGCCTGTAGTCCCAGCTACTAGGGAGGCTGAGGCATGAGAGTCGCTTGAACCCGGGAGGCAGACATTGCAATAAGCTGAGATCATGCCACTGCACTCCAGCATGGGCAACAGAGTGAGACTCTGTCTCCAAAATAAATGAAATAAATTTAAAAAGAAGAAAAAAAAGTCTTCTGGAATCTGTAGTGATGATGAAGCCTGAATGGGGTCACCTATGTCTCAGCAAATCCAAAGCCTGACGTCACCACCCACTGCCCCTGGAGGTGTTCGGCAGCTGAGAGAGGAGGTTAGGTCTAAGGCTCAACACTGATGTGCATAAGTGACCCCACTGAGGAGCCTGGAATGACAACATGAGGCTGAATGAAGCCCAAGGCCCATGACATGGGACCAGTGGGTGCCGGTAGCTTTTGGGAAAACATCCAAACTCCTTACCGTGGCCTTTAGAGTGTGGTGTTCTCTGGACCTTCTCTCCATCCCTGGCCTCACCTGTGTCTCTCCCTTGCTCACTAAACTCCAGGTGGTCTCTTGAAAGTGCTTGTCTCAGGGTCTTTTCACATTCTATTTCCTCTTCCTGACACTCTCCCCTTTCCCTGCCTAAATCAAAGTCATACCTCAGGGTTCAGCCTACAAAGAAGCCTTTTTCAATCCTCAAATTGAAACCAGACCTTCCTTAACATCTCTTGTCATGTTCCTTATCTTTGCTTTCATAGAAAGTATCCCAATTGATAACGACATTTCCATGACAATTTGTTTAGGTCTTGTCTTGACAAAAGGGTCAAGTTCTGTGTAGTCACTGCTATGTTGTGACAGCCTAGCACAGCACCTGCCAGATAGTAAGTAATCAGTAAATACTTGCCAGATGTGAACATGGGGAATTAAGAGTTAATGACTCATTTTACCCAGATGTGGTGCCTGTAGTCCCAGCTACTCAGGAGGCTAAGGAGGCAGGAGGATCACTTGAACCCAAGAGTTAAGTCCAACCTGGGCAACATAGGGAGACCCTGTCTCTAAAACAACAACAACAACAACAACAACAAAACAAACCACAACAACAACAAAAAAAGTTAATGATTCATTAGGTTGGTGATGAGCTGATCCTATTTGTGTCCCCAGATGTAGTCCCCCTTCTTCTTACTCTCTGCTCGGTGCCCTGAGGCTGCCTCTATGGGCTTCCTCCCTGGGCTACTTGACCCTTGGCCCTCTGATTGGGTTTAGCCAATGGGAGGTATCAGCAGGTGGGATGGTGGAAGGAAGAGGTTGGAGTATTTCTTTTCCAGGCTCTGACAGGTGCAACTGGGCACTGGACTCCCCCGGAGAGAGAATGACTGCAGTTGTACAGAGGCCTGTGGTCCATTTTAAGGGATTAGCTAGGCACCTTCCTTTCCTGACTCTATATTCCTAACGAGGATTTCTGTCTTTCTTAGGAAAGACAGAGGGTTTTGGATTGTGTAGTTCTTTGATTTTTGGTTTAGCCACCCATGCAGTAGCCAACCCATTCTGTGGCTTGCTCATAACCTTTGGTGTGGTTTAGCTAAGGCACTTTCAGATAACCTGTGGGTCCCATCATCATCCTCACCTGGCTCTAGCCATGAATAGTCAAAGAAAACTTCTCACTGAGTGGCCAGTGGCATATCATCTGGTCAACATCCACCCCAGAAAGCGGAGCTAGAAAAAAAAAGAGGAGGTTGCAGTTCCTTTAGGCAAGAAGCAATTATTGTTATTTCCTGGTCTGCTTTATTCAGACTCTGTTCTGAGTGCCAAGTCAGATCACAGTCACCCCTGCTCTGGAAGGACTCACTGAGGCAGATTTGCACAGTGTAAAGAAAAACTTTCCAGAGCTTAGACTCGTTGGAAAATAGAATGGAGTTTTGTCGGTGGGGGAATGAGCTCTCTGCCCCACTTGAATGACATTACGACATGAGCAGAGGTTGGCAGAAGTCAAGCAGCATGTAAGGGTTGACTTAGGTGATCTTCTTCCAAGGTTGTTTTCAAATCTGGGACCCCACCAGAAATTTTGGAAACTGCAACCTAGAGAAAGGATGTTGCTTTTCTATTCAAGCAACAGTCACCCTGAAGGAGCACATCACTTAAACCCTTTCTAAAGGGGATAAGAAATCACCCAAGAGGTAACAATGTCCAAGGTAATGAGGAGTAAACTGAGCAAACACATCTGGGGCATATAGTCCCAAGGGCAGATGTTAAGGGCCATGGGAGAGAGCTAAGAACGGGAAAGGAATCAGGTGGTGGTGGTTTAGAAGCTGACCTCAGATAAATGGCAGTGATCAAATCCAAGCTCTTAGAGTTGTAAAACATTCAAGAAATAGAGAGTCTTATTTAATTCCCATTTTACAGCTGAGACAACAGAGGCCCAGAAAGGTTAAAGGGCTTAGTGTGAGGGTGAATGGAAGAGGAGGGACTTGACCTCTGGGCTTCTTCTCCTACTATGGTGCTATTGTCTCTCCTCCTGCAGGTCAGTTTGTTAATCTGTGAAATAGATGGAATCTAGGCTTATCAAGGAACATTGTCTTTGCACCAAGCTGCTCTCCAAAGAGGGCTGGGTACCCCTGCCACAGTCACCAGTAGTTGAGAAGAGACACACTGGGTGCTCCTAAGCAGTCCCAAGCCTGCCTGGTCTCTTCTGCAGGGTGGCCCAAGGCAGGCAGCTGGGCCCCCTAGGCTGCCACCCAGTAGCACTCATTTACTCCCACTTGCCTGCCCATGGCACCAAGAAGGCCCAAGGTGCCAGCTGTCTACTGTGGGAAGGAAGCGAAGGTCAGCACCTGTGGGAAAACTCATTTGCTGACCACATGGTTGGCAGGTAGGAGGGTCAGGGCCTGAGTGAGCCCTGCCAGCTGGCACAGCTGCTGCCCAGGGGATGGGGGTGGTTTGGGTCCTCCTTTGCTTGTCCTTGAGGCCTGTTGAAACCTATTTGTCCCTCCCCTTAACACTTTCTCTTTTTTCCAGACAAGGTCTCACTCCAACACCCAGGCTGGAGTGCAGTAGTGCAATCTCGGCTCTCTGCATCCTCCATCTCCCAGGATCAAGAGATCTCCCCAGCTCATCCTCCTGAGTAGCTAAGACTACAGTTATGCACCACCACTCCCAACTAATTTTTGTATTTTTTGTAGAGAAGGAGTTTCACCATGCTGCCCAGGCTGGTCTTGAACTCCTGAGCTCAAGTGATCCTCCTGCCTCGGCCTCTGAAAGTGCTGGTATTATAGGCATGAGCCACCATGCCTGGTCCCCTCCCTTCATTCCCCCCTGCCCTTCCCCTCCTGGGGCTAGCATCACCTCTCTCTAGGCCACTGCATCTCCCTCCAGGTCAGCCTCCCCCATTTCCTAAAGTCCTTCTCAGCTTGAATCCTGTGGGTGGTTCCTCATTCCCTTCAGATGCATTATTCACATGTCGGTTCACTCATTCACATTCATTTTCACGTGGCTACAATGTGCTAGAGCTCTTCCAGCCTTGAAGGCACAACAGTGAGCAAAACATCATCCTTCCCTGCCTTCATGGACTGATGGTCCCATGGGGCACAGGCAATGGTTACCTATAAATACATACATAATTACAAATGATCAAAAGCACTAAGAAGAAAAGGCAGGTGAGGAGAGCTATCATGTAATTTGGGCTTTATTTAAAGAGAATAACTCTGTGGAGAGGGGTAAGAATTTAGGTGGCGTCCAAGCACCAAAGCTAGGTATGCAAGGGTGATATTTTAGTCCGTTTGTGCTGCTATAATAAAAAACCCAAGACTAGGGTATTTTATAAAGAACAGAAATTTATTTCTCACAGTTCTGGAGGCTGGGAAGTCCAAGATCAAGGCACCAGCAGATTCAGTGTCAGATGTGGGATGCTCTCAGCTTCCAAAATGCTGCCTTCTTGCTGTATCCTCATATGGTAAAAGGGGACAACAAAGGATGAACTCATGGCAGATGAGATGGAAGGACCAGGCAGCTCTCTGGAGCCTCTTTTATAAGGACATTCACAAAGGTGGAGCCTTCATGATTTAATCATTTCCCAAAAGGCCCTACCTCTTAATACTGTCACAATGGGGATTAAGTTTTGACGTGAATTTTGGAGGGACACAAACTTTTAAACCATAGCAGATGGACATTGATATGGGTTGAATACAGGCCCCACAAAAAGATATGTTAGAATCCTAACCCCCAGTACTTCAGAACATGACCTTATTAGGAGATAGGATCTTTACAGTGCTAATAAAGTTAAAATGGGGTCATTAGGGTAAGCCCTAAGTCAATATGATTGACATTCTTATATAAAGGGGAAATTTGAACACAGAGACACATACATCCTGTGAACATGAAGGCAGAGATTGCCAACGAGTGGCCAGCAAACCATCAGAAGCTGTGGAAGAAGCCTGGAACAGATTCTCCCTCATAGCCCTCAGAAGGAACTAACTCTGCCTACACCTTCATCTTGGACTTCCAGCCTCCAGAACTGGGGGGAGACAATGCATTTCTATTATTTAAGCCCCTCAGCTTGTGGTTCTTTGTTATGGCAGCCCCAGCAAACTAACAGCTCCCATATGACCTCTGCCCAGCCTAATTTCTGCCAACACCCTTGATGCCTTCCCAGCTGATAACTGCCTACATAGAAGGACACAAACAGTCAACACTCACAGTTCTGAACCTGCTTTTCCCCTCTTCTGAGCTTTTGCCCCTGGGGTTCCCCATGCCAGGAATGTTTCCACATCTCCACCCCAACTCCCAGGTCTCCCAGCTTCATTTCTCCTCCATTGCCTGGGGCTCCTTGCCAGCACGTTTCCACCTTCATTTCAGGTCCCAGGTCAAACTCTCTCTGCTCGCAAAGCCTGTGACATTGGACATCTGTTCCACATTTTCAGTTCCAGATCATACTCTCCAAGATTTTTCAGATGCCAGTAAATATGTGAACTCTATTCTTTCTAAAAAAAACTCTCACGGGCTGGGTGCAGTAGCTTACGCCTGTAATCCCAACACTTTGGGAGGCTGAGGTGGGTGGATCACCTGAGGTCAGGAGTTCGTGACCAGCCTGACCAACATGGTGAACCCCCATCTCTACTAAAAATACAAAAATTAGCTGGGCATGGTGGTGCGTGCCTGTAATCCCAGCTCCTCGGGAGGCTGAGGCACAAGAATCGCTTGAACCTGGGAGGCGGAGGTTGCAGTCAGCTGAGATCGTGCCACTGCACTCTAGCCTGGGCAACAAGAGCAAAACTCTATCTCGAAAAAAAAAAAAAAAGCCGGGCGTGGTGGCTCATGCCTGTAATCCCAGCACTTTGGGAGGCCGAGGCAGGTGGATCACGAGGTCAGGAGATTGAGGCCATCCTGGCTAACATGGTGAAACCCCGTCCCTACTAAAAATACAAAAAATTAACCAGGCGTGGTGGCGGGCGCCTGTAGTCCCAGCTACTCAGGAGGCTGAGGCAGGAGAATGGTATGAACCCAGGAGGCAGAGCTTGCAGTGAGCCGAGATTGCGCTGCTGCACTCCAGCCCGGGTGACAGAGCAAGACTCCATCTCAAAAAAAAAAAAAAAAAAAAACTTTCACGACCCCCTGGAATATTCCTATTGACTTCATTCTATTAAGCCTCAGCTCAGGAAACAAAAGTTCTGCTACAAATTATCACAACAAAAAGGAAGATTTATTTTTATAACTGGTAAAAATAGATTATCATCAAAATGGAAACACATAGTAATTTCTCAGAGACAGCCTGCCCAGGAGTCCTGGGAGTTAAATACTCCTATATCAGGGCGGACTCTCACCTAGCTGCACATGGGAATCACCTGTGGGCTTTTTAAAGCAGCCTGTGGCTTATGATTACCCTTTAATTGGTTGGAGTGGGGCCTGGGATTTCTCTGTTCCTTTCTTTTTTTTTTTTTTTTTTTAACTCCCAGGTGACTCTGGTTTGCAGCCAGGATGGAGAACAAGTGGCATGTCTTGATTGTGTTTTGGCTTCGTGCACCTTGGAGTTGTATGCAGGGTGTGGATTGGGGGGCTTGGAGCCAACCTTAACAAGCATTGCTACCTAGCAGGGACCCCAAAGCTCTGCATGCCTACAGCCTTCGGGTAACTTTGGGGTGTGCAGCCAGACTGTGACCACACTCCTTAGATGGCCTTGCTCGCCTTATAGCACACTGACTTAAGGCTAGAGCCTTACGTTCCCATGGTGATGCTGATCCAAGCTTGTACAACCCACGGCCCACGGGCTGCATGCAGCCCATATTGGCTTTGAATGCAGCCCAACACAAATTCGTAAACTTTCTTAAAACATTATGAGATTTTTTGCAAGTTTTTAAACTTTTATTTTTATTTATTTATTTATTTTTAGCTCATCAGCTGTCGTTAGTGTATTTTATGTGTGGCCCAAGACAGTCCTTCCAATGTGGCCCAGGGAAGCCAAACGGTTGGACATCCCTGTAAGTTAGACCCTTAAGACAACATGAGAAAGACAGGGCTCAAATGTTGCATTCATTTTACCCATGAGAAAGCTATGGTCCAGAGAGGTGGAAACCCCTTGTCCAGGGTCACCTGGCTTGACTAGAATCCTAAATGCTAGCTCAGTGCCCTTTTTCATTGCTTCCAACAAGACTGGATGTCCATCTGAGCTTTATGTTAATAAAGTCAATGTTAGTATGGCATATTTTCATTGCCCCAAAGACTCTATCCATGTGCATTCTGAACAATGTGCCACTTTTGTTACTTAAAACACAAATAGAAAAGTCCAATCAAGCTGGCCTCATACAACCCCTTAAATCTAGAAACCTGATCAGATTTGGTCAGGGCCATAAAGACAGGGCAGGCCTACCCCAGAGAGTCCTGGACTCCACATCTCCTCAAGTCAGGGTGTAAGGGCTACGGATCTGTGGGGCTGAGCTTGGACTCCCCAGTGGCATCAGAAAGTGGACCGTAGATACCCACACTGATCAGTAGTCAAAGTTCACACTGGTGATCTTGGAACCTGCTGTTCTTTACCTTCCTGGGGATTTTTCCAGCTGCATAACTGATAAAAGGACATAGGTTCCAGGAAGGGAATGTGGGAGGAGTGAGTAGGGGCCTGGCCCCGTTCCAGCTCAGGTCTCCATCTGCTGCCTCCCCTGCCCCTGGAGATCCAACCATCTCTGCCTCTGCAACTGGGACCCAGGTCACCACAGGTCACTCCAAGGTTCAGAGCAGTGCTTTGGCCGAGTGCTTATGGATGTGGCCAACAGCCCTGGGGAGCTTCCCCAGCTGGCTTCCTCTCTCCAGTTTCTCTCTTCTCAGTTTCCTTCCTATTTTAAAATTGTTTTTCCCAAGTCATCACACCCATAGCTGTCAGTCTGGGAAGCATGGTGAGACAGACTGTCCTTGACCAGGGAGTAGGGCTCTCACCCATGGCCAACCAGCCACACCCCCTCCCTTATACCTTGGTTCCAGTCACTACCCTCAGATGGTCCTTATCAATTCTGGGTATTGGCAGATGCCGCCTCCTCCTAGCTGGCCTCCCAGGCTGCGGTCTTGGTAGGACATCTTCCTTCAAGCCTGGTCCTGTAACCACCATCTCTGTGGAGCCTTCTTGTCTTGCTCCTTCCTTCTGAAATTCCCTGGCCTGGGACCTACCTTGCTTTTTGTACCTAGTAGGCAGCATCACAGTGCTTTTTCAGGGGCAGCCTCCCTAACACCAAGCACTGCCTGAGGGCAGCATGTCTTCTGATTTCCTCTCCTGCCAATGCCTGGCACAGGGGTGGGTACAGAGCTGGTATTTGATAAATGTTTGGCGAATCTACGTTCCATTGATTGAGTTCTTTGCCTGGGGTGTGGGCTCACTGCGGATGCTGCTGAAACTGACAGAGAACCAGAGGGTTTGGCTGTCTCCCACTTGGTGCCACCACCCAAGGGGTGGGTGTCCCTGGCCGCCGCCGTCTTTATCACCCTCGTCATCACCGCGGTTTACCGAGCACTCGCCTTGCACCCTGTCCTGTAAGGCCCCTCCTAAGGTCGCTCCTTTGATCCTCGCCACGACCCTGCTTTGGAGGGATAATCGAAGCCCACTCGCATTCAAGTCTTAAGTTCAATGATAGCTTGACGTGGCCACGCAGGTTAGAAACAGAAGTCGGTGGCCGGGCGCGGTGGCTCACGCCTGTAATCCCAGCACTTTGGGAGGCCGAGGCATGCGGATCACGAAGTCAAGAGATCGAGACCATCCTAGCTAACGCGGTGAAACCCCGTCTCTACTAAAAATACAAAAAAACTTAGCCGGGAGTGGTGGCGGGCGCCTGTAGTCCCAGCTACTCGGGAGGCTGAGGCAGGAGAATGGCGTGGACCCGGGAGGCGGAGCTTGGAGGGAGCCGAGAATCGCGCCACTGCACTCCAGCCTGGGCGACAGAGCGAAACTCCGTCTCAAAAAAAAAAGAAAAAAGAGAAAAAGAAGTTGGCACCAGGACTGCCGGGGTAGGATGCGGGGCTTGGTGAACCACAGAGAGACTCCCTGGGGGGAGTGGTGACTTGGGACACCGCGGGGCAGAAACGCCTCCTGAAAGAACGCCCGCTCCTCCCAGGTCTCTATGGGTTGGGCCCATGGGGACGCCAGACTGGCGGGTGGGGGGGGAGGAGGCTCCTCGGGGCCCCAGCCGATTGGCTGACGGAAAAGCCCGTTTCAGCAGGGCCCGCCTGGGCCCCGCCTCCGCGCCGCTCTGTGCTTAGGTGGCCGCGAGGCCGCCTCGACCCAGGGGAGCAGGAAGGAAGCCCGGGAGCGCCCTGCACCTGTGCCTGCCTCTGCGCACCTCCCCAAGAGCCAGGGCCAACGAGGGGTCCCCTCACCCTCAAATCTACCTCCTCAGAGAGGCTGGTCCTCCCGGGCCTGCCGCGATCCCTCGGGGTGGTCTCGGTGAGTCAGGGAGGGTCCTTGAAATAGGGGTCCGGGGCCCGGCCCTCCGACCTGACGGGGACAGCGAGTCACTCAGTGAGTTTGAACAGCTACCTGCTCCTCTGGGCCTCAGTTTCCTCCCTGTGAAGTGAGGGACGGGGCTAAAGGCTGGTATCCCTGAGCTGAGGCTCCGGAGTTCAGTCCATCGCCACCAGCTCAGGCACGGAGAAGACAGTCGACCTACGCACAGGAGCCAGGGAAACCGTGTGACCCAAAGTTAACGGGGAGAAACCCAGGTATGGGGACGTGCTCGGGACATTTGCAAACGTTCCATTCCCAAATGTATCCCCGGGAGGCGGCCGCGGCAGGAGATAGACCCAGAGCATACAGATGCACCAGTGGATTTTATTAGTGTGAACGCAGCAGCCTCGTCGCCCCGGGAGCTTAGCAGGGCGTGAGGGTGAGCAGCGTGTCTTCCCGCACTGTGTCTTCGCTACAGAAGTTGTACCTGGGGAGAAAAGGAAGCTTTGTAAGAGTTTGGGTCACCTTAGCAAAAGCCAGGTGTTTTGTTTTGTTTTGGTTTGGTTTGGTTTGGTTTGGTTTTTCTTAAGGGGTTAAGCCCAGGTCACAGTTGATGAGTGATTCAGGAGGCACGAGGGGGCACTAGGGCTGGAGCTGCAACCAGCGCCTACAGCGCTTGCTGCCTGGAGGCTCTAGGACAAGGTCTGCTATGGTTCTGGAGTGTCACACAGGACGGTGGCCTCCGAAGGCAGGGACTCTCACCTCCTTGTCCCCACAGGCGCCTGGCGGCCTCCATAGGCCCAGCAGCCTGGCTTACAGAGGGATGCTGTCTTCCAGTCACTCTCGGAAGGGGACAGCGGCCAACACGCCCTGAGCCCTTCTCATCTGCAGCCAATTATGCTGCTTAATTCACTTATGCAAACTGCATCCTCACCACACATGTGTGAGGGGGTCTGATGATTAGTTCTACATTACAGGAGAGGAAACTGAGGCACAAAGGGCGCTCCATTAATCAGCAGAATAACAAAGATGCAAAAACAGGTCCATCTGATGCCAGAGGCTGTATTTTCCATGGTAGGATCACACATCAAGCCTTCCTTGACCTTGTCTTCCAGCTCTGGAGTCGGGGGACCTGGCGTTCCTCCCTGGAGTTCCTCATGACCTTTCCCTCCCACATTTGAGTGCTTCGGGGCTAGTTATCTGAGGACTCTGAGGAAGGATGTAGTTAGTAACTGGGAAGCTAAAGAAAATCAAGATTTTGGTCCAAGCTTTTCTCAGAATCCCCTCATATTTTTTAATAACCTTATTGGGGTATTAATTCCTACTAAACAACCTGCCCACTAGGATTCCCTCCAATGACACAGTATCAAAAGAGCAAGGCAAGGCCTGGTGTGGTGGCTCATGCCTGTAATCCCCACACTTTTGGGAGGTCGAGGCAGGTGGATCACTTGAGGCCGGGAGTTTGAGACCAGCCTGGCCAACATGGTGAGACCCTGTCTCTACTAAAAATACAAAAATTAGCCGGGCGTGGTGGTGCATGCCTGTAATCCCAGCTACTTGGGAGGCTGAGGCACAAGAATCTCTTGAACCCAGGAGGTGGAGGTTGCAGTGGAGCTGAGATCATGCCACTGTACTCTAGCCTGGGCAACAGAGCGAGATTCCATCTCAGTCATTCTCCCACGACTGTTGAGAATTCCATGATAAGAACGTAACATCCCATGATGGTAAATGTAAAAAGTCTTACAATTAACAAAAAACAATGCAGATGTAAGCAGTTATTTTTGTGGTTGTTCAAGAACCACGGACTTCTCTCAGGCCTCACCACCTGTGAGCTCGGAAGCTTTGCCCCATTTCCTCACTGGTGTTCCTTGGCCCCTTCCCACTTTCTCTTCTGTGTTTCATTTTTTCTGCCAAGAAGCCCTAACTTGGCATCGGAGGCCTCCGATCATATTCCCTGCACTTGGGCCCTGTCGCCCCTCATGCACTTGGACCTGTTGCCCTGCCCCTGTGCCCTTCCTCCCTCCTACTCCCTGCCTCATCCTGAGAGCTGCCCTTCCTTCCATCACAGCCTCCCCGCGGCCCTCTGCTTTCCTCCTTGGCCACTGTCTTTCTGAGCCTCTCCTGGGAGTTCTTTATTTGGTCTTTTGACCTTCCCTGTGAACCATAAGTCTGATTTTTCTCAACAGCTGAACTGTAAGCTCCTTGAGTGTAGGCTCAGTGTTTGCATCCCTTACTGTTTGCCAGGCCATACAATAGGTACTGAATAAAGTCATTTGCAAGGGTACATTTACCAAAGGTACTTAATAAAGAGAGGGGGACGGAGAAATAAAGAGGGGGAGGGCTGCCTTTCTCTTTGGATACTGTGTCATTGGAGGGAATCCTAGTCGGCAGATTCCTTAGTAGGAATTGAAACCCCAATGAGGTTACTAAAAAATATGAGGGGATTCTGAGAAGAGCTTGGACCAAAATCTTGATTTTCTTTAGCTTCTTCATTATTATTATTATTATTATTATTATTAAATGTTACTGGCCATTTTCATAACAGGAAAATGTTTGAGTAATTCAACTAATTCAGTGTTTTTACTTCCCAAACTAGTTTGAGAGATTTGAAGCTGTTTTGACTTTCCTCTGTTTAGAAAACCTGATGTCTTATATCCAGCTGCTCTTAAGAAAGAGTCTTTCTGGAGCAGACAGCGAGGGGAGCTGCACTCAGCCACTGGAATGCAGGTGACAGCTGATGGGCACAGGACCTCAGGTGCAGCCTTAAGTATGTTCTGTTCCATTTGCAGAAAGTTCAGAAAGCCTCAGCCTTTCCTCAGAAAACCTGGAAGATGCAATGCCCTGGCTGATTTGGACTTGTATGCCTTACCTGTGAGCAAGTCATCTCCTGGGAACACCTCTAATTTTTAAGATTCCAATGATGCCACCACCTGACATGTTTTTAACCACACAGTCCCAGGATCCAGGCCATGGGATGCTTGCTAATGGGGCCTTGGGGAGCTGAATTTAGAGGCTGAGTATCCTCTGATGGGGTCAGGGAGGAAAGGATTTGGTTGCACCTCCAGCTTGCACAGGGCTCCCGACCAGCCCGGCCCAGCCTCCTCTGTACTATGCTCTAGCTTATGAGGCCTCCTGGTTCCACCCACCACCTGGCAGGGCCAACCTCTTTGTTCTCCTTGCCTCGTGGGGATAAGGAGAACCTCACTAAGTCATCCAGTTCGAGGAGACCCAGATGTGGAGTCAGCCCCCATTCTACTCTGCCACCCCACCCTCCCCACCTGGGGGAGTGACAATCTCTGGGACCTGAACTCGGTGACTCCACCTAACCCCAAACTTCAAGAACATCGGTGGCTGAGAGCCCAGGATCTCCTTCCCACAAAGCCACATGTTCTACTAGCCAGACTTGGGGTCTGAGGTTTGAGAGACAGTCGCTCTGCCCTCTCAGGTCACCACTCCAACTTTCCTCCAGCCGTCCCTTTTTCCTACCCACGGCCCTGTGCTTATTCAGGCCCAAAGCCAGGGAGACCACAGGTCAGGATCTCACAAGTATTGCAATCCTAGTGCATTCTTGTCCTATGTAAAATTTTCGATCTTTTCCTAAAACCGATTTATTTTCCGTTTTATTATCCTGAAATGTAATTGGTCTTCTCCTCTTTCAAGTATAGCTATTCACTAGCCCATACTTATAAACTTGTACCCTTCAGAAAGGATTTCTTGTTCTCTTTCTTGTATTTTCTCATTTTACCTTGAAAGTGCAGCCTTATCTTCTGTATTCCCACAGGCAGTGCTGAGAACACCCAATAAGGTGCACCCAACAGAAACATTTTATGCTGTTTGTCAGTTGCTTGTTTGGGGAGAAGGGGCCACAGATGGGTAAATTTTCTTGGCTTTTCTTGCTTAACTACACGTAACTTTCTAGGGTGGGTTTTCATTATAACATGAATCTCTGCAAACATTTTTAGGCACCAGCCAGCAAAGATACATACACTGTCTTCTCTTCTCCCTTTTGCACAGTGATCTTGGTGGCACCCACTTTGGGGAGGGTTGGATTTATCACATTGTTATTCCAAAGAAACTTGACTTTCTCAATTGTTCCAACATCCAGCTTTGCATCAAACTCATAGGAATGGGTTGAGCCTGGTTTGAGAATCCCCCTTGAAATAGAGAAACATAAACATCCCTGTTCACGGAAATGAGTTCTAATTACCATACAATGCCAGGCTGCTGTTTTCTCTTCTAGATTAACAGGATTATTTTTCCGAATTAATTTCCAAATAAAGGATGGAGAAATGGAAAAGCCAGCTATATGCTAGCACCTCAAACTATGGTTTTTAAAACTCAAGTTAATTTTTCCTTAAAGCTTTCTAATAGAAAATAAAATAGAATTCCTGCATATCATTTTATATGTTTTGGAAGAATTATTTGTACAGTAACAAATTGGCCACATAGTATGGCACAATAAGCATGTGTTATTGCACTAATCAGAAAACAGCATATCTGAAGTAATATTAGATTTATGTTTAAAAAAACATCTATTAAGAGAAAGAGGCCGGGCATGGTGGCTCACGTCTGTAATCCCAGCACTTTGAGAGGCCGAGATGGGTGGATCACTTGAGGTCAGAAGTTCGAGACCAGCCTGGCCAACATGGCAAAACGCCCCCCATCTCTACTAAAAATACAAAAATCAGCCAGGTGTGGTGGCACATGCCTGTAATCTCAGCTACTTGGGAGGCTGAGGCACGAGAATTTCTTGAACCCGGGAGGCGGAGGTTGCAATGAGCCAAGATCGTGCCACTGCACTCCAGCCTGGGTGACAGAGCAAAGACTCTTTCTCAAAAAAAAAAAAAAAAAAAAAAAAGAGAGAGAAAGGACGAAATGCCTAGGTTTATAACAGAAAAGAAAAATTATTAGCAGAAGTCTGCAATTAACATCAGTACATAAAGTTATATAGTCCTGCGTTGCTTAACAATGGAGATATGTTCTGAGAAATGTGTCCTTAGGTAATTTAATCATTGTGTGGACATCATAGCATGTACTCACACAAACGTAGATGGCACAGCCTACTACATACCTAGGCTGTATGGTACAGCCTATTGCTCCTAGGTTACAAACCTGTACTACATGTTACTGTATTGAGTTCTGTAGACAACTGGAACACAATGGTAAGTATTTGTGTATCTAAACACCCAAACATAGAAAAAGTACAGTAAAAATATGGTATTACAAGCTTATAAAGCAACTGTTGTGTATGTGGTCCATCAACTAAAATGTTGTTACATGTTGCATGACTATAATTAAAAACCAGTGACATATAAAGAGATGATAAGTGTTCAAATTAAGTGTGTGGTTTGAAGGCTGTGTATATCATCAAATGAGACGTAGTGTTAAAATAGGAAATTACCTGAAGATACTGTACTGGTGAGTGTTTCCCTTATTTCCAAACAAAGCAACTTTGATCTGACCAGTGGCTGTTCTTCCAGACAGTGTGATGGAAACCCCATATCTCCAGCCTGCACAGGAGATGGAAGAGTTCAATTTATTCACACACAAAATAAGTAGCCTACATCCCAGACTTGTCTCCTTCTCTTACTCTGAGGCAACAAAGCATAAGAAATTCTTTTCTAAAAAATTATTATTATTATTTTTTGAGATGGGGTCTCACTCTGTCACCCAGGCTGGAGTGTAGTGGTGCAATCTTGGCTCACTGCCACCTCTGCCTCCCAGGTTCAAGTAATTCTTCTGCCTCAACCTCCCTAGTAGCTGGGACTACAGGCACACACCATCACGCCTGGCTAATTTTTGTATTTTTAGTAGAGACAGAGTTTCGCCATGTTGGTCAAGCTGGTCTCCAACTCCTGACCTCAAGTGATCCGCCCGTGTCCGCCTCCCAAAGTGATGGGAATACAGGCGTGAGCCACCACACCCAGCCAAAGTATAAGAAATTCTATTTGTTAATCTACAAATCAAACAAGGCCTTATGGAGAAGTATGTATTTAGCAGTATCCCCCTCTAGAACTGCATTGCCCAGGGAGGAGGTCACCAGCCACATGTGGCTGCTTACATTTAAATCCAAATTAAATACAATTAAAAATTTAGTTTCTCAAACTCATTCGCTGTGTTGCAAATGTTAAGTTGCCACATGAGGCTAATGGCTACACAGAATATGCCCCTCATTGCAGAAAGTTCTGTTAGCCAGCTCTGCCCCAGAATGGCAGTACAGTAAGGTAAGGTGAAGAGAGAGGGAATAGGGGCTTGTCTCCACATTTGGGAAGGTAGCTCGGGAGTGCAGCCTGGCAAGCACCTCGAGGGCGGGGACTGTGTTTCCTCTCTGCTCCCCAGGGCCCTGGGCAGTCTCTAGCACAGAGCAGGTGCACGAGCAGCTGTCACTTAGGCTTCTACCTGAAATGCTGTCCCAGGGCCTGCATGCACACGCACACAAATACAAATACATATACACAAACATATGCATGTGCGTGCACACACACAAATACATATACACAAACATATGCATGTGCACACACAATACATATACACAAACATGCATGTGCGTGCACATACACAAATACATATACACAACATGTGCATGTGCACACACACATACATCTACACAAACATGCATGTGTATGTGCACACACACACAAACCTACACACATTTAACCACGCACATACATAGACACCCACATACAAATATACATACACATGCACATACATATACATAAACATACAGACTCATATACATACGTATATAAACACATGCATACACACAAAGGTACATACACAAACACACTCACACATGCATTCATACACCCACACATGTGCACAGATGTACATTAATATACACAGACATGATTCTTGCCTAACTCCTATTCATCTTTCGTGTCTTCAGAGACCTTGACCCTGACCCTCCTTCTGGTCAGGGCCAGGTTCTCTGTCCCATAATGTCATGGCAACAGCCACCAAGCCCAACACGCTTGTAGTTGCTTGCCCAGTTTCTGTCTTTGGCTGGATTATTAATTTCATGAGAGGAGTCTCTTGTTCGTCCCTGCATCCTCAGTGTCTAGCATAGTCTGTGGCCCATAAATAAATGTTGATTGAGGAATGAATACCTGGTTTTTGAGTGTTTAATTTGTTGTTGAAATATTGGCAAGTATTTCATGCATCACAACATCAGTGGAAGGATTGATTAATCAATGTCTTCTTACAAAAAAAATACACAGAGTGGGCCGGGTGCGGTGGCTCACGCCTGTAATCCCGGCACTTTGGGAGGCCGAGGCAGGCGGATCACAAGGTCAGGAGATCGAGACCATCCTGGCTAACATGGTGAAACCCCGTCTCTACTAAAAATGTAAAAAAAAAATTAGCCTGGCATGGTGGCGGGCGCCTGTAGTCCCAGCTACTCGGGAGGCTGAGGCAGGAGAATGGCGTGAACCCGGGAGGGGGAGGTTGTAGTGAGCCAAGATTGCGCCTCTGCACTCCAGCCTGGGCGACACAGCGAGACTCCGTCTCAAAAAAAAAAAAAAAAATTACAGAGTGATATATATGGTGATAGAAGTGTTCTGTATCTTGATTTGGAGGTGTTTACACAACTATTCATTTGTCCAAACTCATACAAGTGTATGCTAAACAGCGTGCATTTTGCCAAATATAAATTATACCTCAATAAATCTGACTTTAAAAACTATGTAAGATGTGTTATACATTTATATGAATATGTAACCTCTGTCTTTACTGGGTCACCTCCTATGGAAGTGTCATGGGGCAGGTTGGTACAAAGTGGCCCAAACATGCCCAGTCTCTACCCTGTGTCTTAGTCCATTCAGCAGGTTTTGGAGAGAAATCATCCTTCCCCCTGATTCCTGCCTGCACTCCACCAGCGAGGCAGCCCCTGGGCATCAGGGATGCACAGACAGAGGGGAAAGCAGAGAATGGAGTTGGGCTTCTTAAGGGACATAGCCCAGCAAAGAGCTGGTACCAATTACGTCTTTGCTGAATGAAGAGAACAGGTGTGTCTGATGCGGCCTTAAAAAGGAAAGAAACAATGAACTGTGGAGTGGTAAAAATTCAGGGTAGCTGGTCACAAGGATGTGCAAACTGGCCTCATCCCATTAATTATACTAGTTGCTTGCTCTCATTTCATGCCGCAGAAATAGAACGGAAGAAATGCACACTCTGTCTAAATCCTCAGTTTACTTGTAACTGCAATAGTTTCGGTAAATGTGTCCATTTCTAAGATAATTAAAATGTACCCACAAATATTTCAGGTTGAAAGCAAGCCCCTCATTTGTAACAGAAACTATATACTTTCTTTACATGGGCAGGTAGTCAAAGTGCAACTTACGAGCGAAATTGCTAGCCTCTCCTGTGTTCAAGAAGAATTTCTGCTGCTCTTCACTTGTCCTGCCAGCAAATTTATCAGCATAGTGACCCATCTGTGGGCATCCTTGATCTGGACACGGGAAGCACTTGTCCTAATGAGAAGAGATAGATGGGACTGTAAGGAGAATTTGTGTTTGTATGATCGATACATCTGAGAGGGCAGACACTCAATTTTCCTACAGCCTAAGCGTTCTCCTTTGTGACAACAAAGGGGTTGGAGCAGATGATCTCTAAATTACCTTCATCTGGATCAGGGTTCCCAACTTTTAGGCACAACACATTAGAATTATTTGAGGAGCTTTAAAAAATACTGATGCCCAGGACCCAGGTTAGATCAATTATACCTTCTGTTGAGTGGAGCTGGTGAATGATAAGCAGCAAAAGCTCTGGGACAAAAACCCTGGATTGCAGTGCTTACCATTTTCAGTGGTGTAAATACTCTGACTGTGGCCAGTTTCAGGCTACCAACATGATGTCTCTGAATTTGGAGTTGGGAAGGGATACTCATGCTGGCTTTCGTGAGCCAGAATAGGCAGGCTCTAACCTGTCATTCTTCATCTCTCCCCTTGTTGCCAGCCTGGCATATAGGACTCCAGCATCCACCTTGCTTTCTCTCTGGTGTGAATTATTCTCTATACATTCTTCTACTCTCGCTCTGCCCTTGCCAGAAATGTGCATTCCTGTGTTTTCTAAACTGTATCATTTTTAAGCTAGATTCAGAGGTTGCCTCCTGCAGGAAGCCTCTATATCATTGAATTGACTGCTCTTTCTCTCTGATTTCCCAGTTTTCCTCTGCCACATAACTCATGTCATCTAAAATTTTAGCCATCTCCTGCCAAAAGTTGTTTACTTTTTTTTCTCTTCCACTCCACAGGACCATGAACTCTGAGGGTCAATGCAAAACGTGTAGTGAGAAGGCATTGCAAATCCCAAACGCAGCAGGACAGCAGTCCCTCAGAGGGGTGATGCTTGTTGCTCGAGGCAGGACAATAGCTTACAGACTCAAAGGACTTGTAGGAAGTGCAGGGATATGCAGCAAACCCATCGGGATTGAGGATGCTTTCCAAGTAATACTTGTAGCTTCTTAGGTGATTGCAAGCCACAAAGTCCCGGGTTCCTGGGAAAACAAATAAGGAGACCTGAACAGGTGGTTGGGGGCCTGTAACAGCTTCTCTGCCTCTCTCTCCAAATGGGATGGTTCCAAAGTAGGACCGTATTTTCAGAAACTTAAGATAAATCCAAAATTCAGCCACCATAATGACAATTAACATATAGAGGGTGCTTTCTGTGTACAAGGCAACATTCTGATCACTTTACCTGCCTTGTCCATGTAATCCTCAGTCTTCCTAGGAGGTGGGTACCATATCATCCTTATTTATGCATTATCATCTCATTCCTATGTTACAGAAAGGACTACAGAGTGTAGCCTCAGATTTACAGCTTAGCTAATAGGTGGGAAAGCTGGTAATTAAACCCATGCCCATCTTGTCTTCGGCCCATCCCTCTAACCTTAGTGCCATCTCATGTCCCAGGCACCATGCTGGAGGTCCTCAAAGACATGACCAGATGTGACATGACCAAGCCAATGCGAGGACATTTCCATGCGGCAGTTATACAAATAAAAACAAGGGCTGGATAACTTTAGGTGGTTTTGTATGAGCTTCACTCTCATAGTGTCTTGATTTTACTTGCAACCTTTCTGGGCTCCCTGCAACTCCTGCCAAGTGACAAATGTTACATTATACCTTCTAGACCTGGCCTGAGCTTGCTGGGCCATTACTGATGAAGAGTTTTGACTGCCCTATGCACGCAAACCCTCATGAGGCTGTGAAAGACAAACTGCATATGTCCTCATTCTTTATTTTTTATTTTATTTTATTTTATTTTATTTTATTTTATTTTATTTTCGAGATGGAGTTTCGCTCTTGTTGCCCAGGCTGTGGTGCAATGGCATGGTCTCGGCTCACTGCAACCTTTGCCTCCTGGGTTCAAGCGATTCTCCTGACTCAGCCTCTCGAGCAGCTGGAATTGCAGCCACGCACCACCACGACTGGCTACTTTTTGTATTTTTAGTAGAGACGGGGTTTTACCATGTTGGCCAAGCTGGTCTCAAACTCCTGACCTCAAGTGATTTGCCCGCCTCGGCCTCCCAAAGTGCTGGGATTATAGGCGTGAGCCACCACAGCTGGCCTGTCCTCATTCTTAATATTTGCTTTGATGGCATCCATATATGCCAAGCCATTTTGATGAAATTCAGTAAAAATCTTTACTCATTACATTTGGTCAGACTACTAAGGGTTTTCTCCGTGTGGTGCCACATGACAAGTCTGGATGAAAACTTCACCTGTCCATTGTCCTTTTGGCCTCATTAGATACAGAGTCAGAGCTGTGTCTGCAGGATGCCCTTTCTTCCCAAGTGTGCTAGATCAACAATAAAGAATAACCACATCCAATAGCAGTCTCCCATCTCACCTTCCTTAACTGTGATTGCTCCTCATTCCTACTCAACATGGGTGAGCAATGGCTCTCATTGTGCAAATAGGCTTGCTGTGGAAACCACTGGGAATATTCTCATTCTAGCTACTGAAAGGGAGCTGATTACATCATTTTGAACCTTATCACTGACTCCCAAGAGAGAATTTGTAGCAAAAGTCTCTTAGTTACAGTCAGGATGTTTGCTCTTATGGTATTTCCTTTCTGTATTAGGTAACTACCAACTGATTGCTGGAGTCACAGCTTTAAGTGACAGTTTTATAATTCTTTGTTGCTTGTACATGCCAGGACATCCACAGCAATGTTTTAAGGAAGCACAAAAGCAGTAAAGCTGAGATATAACAAATACTATGTAGCTACATTTTTTCTGAAATAATCCCCAGAAGAGGGAATTGTATATTTTTAAAGACAGTTTCATTTTTATTCTTAAGATTTGCTGCAGAAAGGTATTGGTCACTCCAGGAAAGTACCCGCCCTGCTCCCCTCACCCCACCATGACTTTACCCGCCCAGATGCCATCTAGATCCACGATCTGAGACAGGGCATTCTTCTTGCATCCCGGCATGCTCTCTCCTCCATTGGGGAAGAAGTCAAGATGACCCATCTGTTGGTTCGTTCCAAAACCTGAAATGCTTAGAAAAACAATGAGCTTTTTGTCATGCAGGACTTTCATGGTTAAAACACAGTTGTGCGTGCTCACAGCTGGAGCATCATAGGTCTCACCCAAGAATGGGATCAGGGGAGCTGCATCCGTGTGAATCACATCAACAAAGTCAGCATCAGAGGGATCAAGTCGCACCTCTTCAGGAGTACTCTCGAAACTTGCTTCTACAGGATCCAACCCTAAAAGAGATGATCAGCACTGCAGAACAATAGACCTGACTGTAGATGTCAGCAGCACCAAGGTGTACAGCTGCCCGGGCTATGCACTGCCCAACTCAATGGGTACCATGCACCAGAGTGATGCAGTGCCATGGCCTTGGGTGCTAAATATGAGGACATAGAGTCTGAATGTGGCTCATTGCAAAAGGGTTCCCAGTGGCGTGGATGGAGGAGGACAAATGAGCAAAGAAATTTAGATTTTGTTTAAGCAAGGATTTTTTCCACACCAGAGTCTCCCATTTACTTGTGTATCTTTCTTCTTCATCATCCTTTCTCTCCCCAAGCTTGTAGAAAGAAAGGGGTGAAGCAATGTGGTATCATAGTTAAGAACACAGGTTCTGGGTCTAGGTTGCCTGGCTCCAAATTCCTACTCAGCTGCTTTTGGGGCAAGATGCATGACCTTGAGCATGTCACTCTACCTTTTTGTGCTTCAGGTTCTTCATTTTACAAAATGGGGTGATAATGGCATCTATTTGATATGGTTGTTATAGATTAAATGAGTTAATAGGTAGCACTTAGCACAATGCCTGGTGTATAGTCATGGGTGTATAAGTAAGATATTAATAATTATTGTTTTTGACAAATTTCCTTCTTAGTAGGGATCTTGGATTTGTTAATAGTTTTTGAAGGCTTCATTACAGCAGCTGATAAAATAGGAACGTGAATGTAGTTGCCAGCTGAAAATAAAAGAGAGATTTCTTATAAAGAGTTGCTTAAGCCAAACATCGGCAAAACCAGGTCTGGATCTCAGTTCTCCCACTGATGAGTTGTGTGGCTTTGGGCAAGTTATTTGCATCCCTGAGCCTTTTTCTTCAGTTCTGAGAATTATATAAGAAAATATAAAGCATTTTGTGCAGTATTTGGGATAAGCAGGCACTTAATCTATGCTTATCATAATAATTATAATAGCATTATTATTATTATTATCACCATCATATTATGTAGATATATCTTGCTGTTGCTGTTATAATTCAAATGCTTTGATTGGGTTAAAAGAATGCTTTTGGCCATAATGGCGACTGGGTTTCTTCTACTAGTAGAAGCAGTGGGAAACAATTTTTAGGTTCTATTCTGCCCTTGATTTCAAAGAGAAGGGAGAAAGAATTGGCAATATAGACCCTCCTTGATTATGTTTTGCTCATGTTCATACTAGTCTCACTCTGCATTTTCCTGGGTGCCCAGTCCTGTTGAGAGGCGAACACCACCAGAAAACCAGGACTTAGAAAGGAGGGGCTAGGACAGAGGTGGAAGAAGCAAAGAGGAACAAAATCACCCTTCCCTTGCCGTGAAGGTGGCGCATGAGCTTCTTGGGGGCTCCCTAAAATGTTCTGTGCAGGCTCCAAGCAGCTCTATCACAGCCAAGGGGGACAGTCTCCTTCAGGGGAGCTCTGAACTGGGCTGCATTCTTGAGACCTCATTCTGGGGTTTCTGGGGACAAAACTGGGGCCCTGCCTCTGGGGCCTTACCTGTAATCCTGCTCAGGCCTGGAGTCTTGCTTCCTGCCTCTCCAGCCACGTGGGCTCCCAGGCTGTGGCCAATGAGGTGAACTTTGGAAGGGGGGTAGCTATACTCTGTCTGGAGAGGGAAGATTGTATTTTCAGGACATTTTTTGCTGTGGTTTTTCTAAAATGCCAGCCTAATGGATATTACTCCTCTGCTGAAAACCTTCCATGCCTCTCATTGCCTTCAGGATCAAGCCCAAACTCATTCTGAAGGCCTCCGAGCTTTCCTAACTCATCATCTATTTTTCTAGACTCTTCAGCCAAACCCTTTGTTGAACTTTCAGACCCTCGAATACATCATAGCCTCTCACCTCTGGGCCTGGTTTGTTCTTCTCTTCTTGTTGTTGTCTATCCCCCAAGCACTTGCCAGCTAACATCAACAGACTAGCCTTCAGCTGTCAATTTAGACGTCTCTTCCTTGGGAGACCTCCTTAAGCCCTTTCCCCACCCCATCAGTGTGGATTAGCTGCCTTCTATGTGTTCCTGTAAAGCTCCTACTCTCCCCATCAGAACCCACTAATAGATCGCACTCTACTGGCATTGCAAGTTTTCACTGCAAGCTCCTTGATGGTCTGGGATCTCATGTGTCTTCTTTACTTCCTCACATACTCCTGACATTCTGCTCCAAAAGTACTGGTGAACAAGCAAATCAAATAGAGCTATGAGGTATTTGCACATGTTGATCTCAGAGACGTTCACCCAAAGGCACTTCATTTATTGGTCTATCATACTTCTTGCACAAATACCATGGGTTTTGATTTCTGCAGGAGTGCAGAAGTTGATTCTTTTGTAGACCCTTTAACTATAAGACAGAAATGGCTGTAGTCATTACCTGGTATAGAAAATAGTCACAAAGGATTAGCAACTTAAAGAATTAAAGACTGAAGGAGTTAGCTATAATGAAACAGTATAGGAAGAAATAAGTGAAATGATTGTGGCAGAAGGAATTCCCCAACATCAATAGGACCCATACCACCAGGCCAGTAGAGCTGGTACATGCCAATTGCACGTACTGTCCGTTGGCTCTCTGTGGCTCTCTCTGGCCATGCTGTGTTTCACGCGAAACAGAGCCCACCTGGTGTTGTGGGTGAATTCTGAAGCTAGATGGTCTGGATCAAAAGGCAGGTCTTCTATTCATTTGCTTTATGACTTTGGGAGCAAACTAGTTAAACTTTCTGGGCCTCAGTTTCTTTATCTGTAAATTGAAGATGATTTTTAAAAAACCACTTTCTAAGTGTTAGCGATTCTTATTTTTGCTTCCACTGGCGTGTCATTATGAAGGCAAATTTCAGAGTTTTAGAAGTAAGGTCTGGATATCAATTCTTTGTCCTTCTTTAATCCATAACTCTCAGCTGCATCTCTACCAAACAGAGACCAGCAGGCACTGCTTCCCTCCTCACATAGGCCAGCCAGCTGACTCACCAAGAGGATGTCGAGCATCTGGGCCACCTGGGCGCCCACCACTCGCACGTTGTTGGCAGCCTGTGTGTAGGTGGCTTGGGAGCCCTTCTTCCAGTCCACGCAGATGCAGTTCACCTCCTCCACCTCGAACAGTTTCTGGTGTTGGGGAGATAGTGGGGTTGGGGAGATAATGGGAGCAGGGGAAACCTTATCCAGCCAGGGCTCAGAAATGGCCACTTCTCTCTTCTCCTAGCTAGGGCATGAGATAAACTAGACTCTGTTAGGGAATCCTGTTGGTAATTAGGAGTTATCCTTCAGGGTGAATGCTATGAGAAAGGCAAACTGATTCCCCCTCCAGCTTGCAGATTAATTGGAAGCTGGCTACTCTCTGGTTTCCTTCAACCAAATTCAGTAAGGTTGGTTAGTAAGGGAAAAACAATTGCATCATGAAAAGAGTCCTGTTTTGAAAAGGAAAAGTCTTAGGTGCAATCTCCGGTGGCCAGTGTCTAAATGACCTTGTGGATTTGACTGTAAGGGGTCCTTTCAGGCTCTTGGCGATGCCCCAGGCTGCTGGAAAGTGAGAGAGAAGTTTCACTATTTTTATAGTCACGATGACACAGTACTTCATGGAGTAGACACATGTAGATATTTGAAAAATAGAACTGTACTGATTTAAAAGAGATTGAAGAATTCTGGAAGGAAAATGTCTTCCTGGATGTCAAAGGAGCTGATATATCTTTAGGAGTTCTGCCAGGCAGTACATATTACCAGCTTGAATTTAAAATGGTACTATAAATTTAAAATGCACTTGGAATCATTCCACATATAGTATACTAATATGTGTGATCACATGCACAGAGATAGTGGGAGTTTTCTCCTCAGGACTTTTCTTTTCTTTTCTTTTTTTCTTTCTTTTTTTTTTTTTTTTTTTGAGACAGCCTCATTCTGTCGCCCAGGCTGGAGTGCAGTGGCGCGATCTCAGCTCACTGCAACCTCTGCCTCCGAATTTAAGCAATTCTCCTGCCTCAGCCTCCTGAGTAGCTAGGACTACAGGCGCCTGCGACCACACCTGGCTAATTTTTGTACTTTTAGTAGAGACAGGGTTTCACCATGTTGGCTACGCTGGTCTTGAACTCCTGACCTCGGGTGATCCACCCGCCTCGGCCTCTCAAAGTGCTGGGATTACAGGCATGAGCCACTGCGCACCTGGCCAGGACTTTCATTTTCAAGCAATCCTGAGGAAACTTTCACAAGCCTGGAGAATTTGGAGTATAAACTGTATCAATAAGATGCTTATTAATGATAGGACAGGAAAGGTGCCAAGAGTGAAATGCCTGTTAAACCAAGGGCAAGTGCAGAATGACTTTAATTTTCTGGGTTTGTAATTTTTCCTTTTGACATTACTGGTTGGTGTTATTAATGTATGTGTGGAAGGCAGGCTCCTGGGGTAGGTAAATTCTTAGGTGACAGAAAAATCGATTGAACTAGTCTCCACATAAATAGAAAGGATGATGGTATATTGTGGTATATTGCACGCACATGTGTGTGTGTTTGTGTGTGTATGCACAAGTTGCACACATGTCCATGTATGTATGTGTGTGTGTGCACATGTGTGTATTCTTCTGTTGCTCTCCTTCTGACCTATATTACATGTAGGTGACACTTTCTATTCTGTCATTGTAGTAACTTAATCTTAGTTTTCTTTTTTTTTTTTTTTTGAGATGGAGTCTCACTCTGTTGCCCAGGCTGGAGTGTAGTGGCACAATATTGGCTCATTGCAACCTTTGCCTCCTGGGTTCAAGCAATTTTCCTGCCTCAGCCTCCCAAGTAGCTGGGACTACAAGAGCCTGCCACCACAACAGGCTGATTTTTGTATCATTAGTAGAGATAGGGTTTCACCATGTTCGCCAGGCTGGTCTCGAACTCCTGACCTCAGGTGATCCATCCACCTTGGCCTCCCAAAGTGCTGGGATCAATTAAGTGGTCACAGCAACACATGTCAGCCTCTCAGGGATGTGGGAAAAATTTGAACAAAGAAACCCCTATAGTCCCTCGCTTATAGGATACAAAGTACCCTCACTACAAATGGAAGCAGAAAACATCAGGCCTTGGTTTAACCAGAAATTAGGTAGTAGGAGTACTTTTCTAACAGCAAATGTGGTTGCTTCAGTGTGCAGATGTAGTGCGGAAACATGGAAAGGCATTTTAATTTTTGTGAAGAGAAGCATTTTAATTGCATAAAGTTACCTAATATGTAAAGATTTCTTGAGTGCATAAAGTGATGCAGAGATGTTAGCAGAAGTGTTGGCCTCAGCTGGCCACAGGGATCAGAGCTGGCTCCTACCTTGCACATGTCTGTCACCCAGCTCTCATCTCCTTTGTCTATGAAGCCATGGATGATGAACCGGGTCTTTCTGTCCATTTGAAAATTTGATGCCTCAATTGTTGATGGATCAGAGAGGAGGAGAATCTGTGACAGACGCAGAAGTGCTTCATGTTTTCGCAGCCCAGCCTCACAGGCCTTTTTCCTTCCTCATCTCCGCCTGCGCCAATGCCTCTACTTTTCAAAGCTTAGCAAAAAGCCACTTCTTCCATGAAGCCCACCCTGATCTCCCTTTTCTTGCCCCATCTCTCCAGGTGAGTAATCACTGCTTCCACTAGGCCTGGATTGTGGTTTGAGGTTTTACCTTCCCTGTGGTTTTTGTTAGACAGTAAGCTGTTTGCCCCAGACCAGAATCACACAGTAGCTAGAGGTTCTGGCAAATGTGAACCATTCATTCATTCAAGCCAACATTACTAAAGACCTGCTCTGTCTAGGTCTAGCTAGGTCTGGGGGGCAGCTTGAGGGATGGGGTGGGGCATGGTGGAGGAAGAGGGCACAGAGATAAGGTATTCATGGTCTGCAGGGTGGGCATAGCCCCGTGCCAGTTACAGTGACATTTAAATGACAGAGGTCTCACTTGAAAGTTGTTTGGGTTTTCATTGGTGTACAGCAGGAAGCGGGTGCCGATCTTCTCAGGGCTCCAGGGGAGAATTTTCAGGGGCCTGATTGCTGTCCCGCCCCAGGGCTCAGTGTCAGAAAAGCACCCGAGGTCCTCATAGCAAACTTCTTTTCCTACAGAGAAAGGTTGAATCTGCTCAAGGATTTGCTCTCAAGGTGTGCTCTGGGGTGTCACTGCTGTTCGGGCCTGGTCACTCTTCTATTCAGGGACAGTCTGAAGACAATGGATGAACCTACTGCAACCCCTCCCACTCTCTTCTTGACCCCAGTGCCCACCTACTACTGGCCGGTAGTAGTATCAGTCCCATTGAATCCCACAGGGACACCACTGGAGCCTTTGTTTAGAACTACCCTCAAAACTGGAAAGTTCTAAGTCCCATTCCTAGCTCTTCTGATACATTTATTTGACCAATGTGATCATGGGCATTGATAAGTCAATATGTTAACTCAGGCAGATGTTTCATGCTTTACCTAGAAATGTCTGGCCTTGGGCACCCCGAGCATGAAGGTAGGCCACTGGGGGGATCCCCAGAAACAGGTCTCCCTTAAACTGCCCAGCCTACTCTCCCAGGCAGAGTGTCAGCCCACATCTTCTCTCTGGTACCCTGGAGCTGCTGGGAGCCCTGCCACAGTTAAAGCTTTCTCTGGCCAGGGCTGAGAGCTTAAGTTTAAGCCCTTCCTACGGGGCAGGAGTGGTGTTTCTTACCTTTGGCTGCTCCCAGCAGGAAAAGTGTGATTGTCCAGAAGATCAGCATCTACAATAAATTTAAACATAATTCAGTCTCACCGGGCATTGCCAGAGCAGTGAGCACCGACGCCCTGGACTTCAGTACTGTTTACCTCACCTGTACGTCACAGCAGGGGGAAAGGAGTTGCAAAGGTGGCTTACCCTGTCTAATGTTCCAGATGTTCCCTCCCACCGGATCGAGTGTCCAGCCCTTTCTAAAAATATATATTCCAGCCTTATCATTTGGACACTACTTCAAGAAAACAGCAGGTGATTATAGCCCATGCTGTGCGCACTTAATACTTTAATCTGCCCAAATACACAAAACAAGATTAATAATAGCTGTCAAGTCTTCCCACAAGTCTGGAAATATGACAGAATGCTTGGTTAAAGCAGGGAGTGAAGTCACCAACCTTGTACCTATGTAACTATGCATGTACTTGTGAGCTGAATGGGCCCTCACTTTTCAGTTTTCTATTTCATCACCAAATAGTTTACAAGTCTCAATAGGGACACAGCAGCAAACCCTAATGATAGAGGATAGTATTTCTCATTTAGAATAGATGAAAATACCTGCAATTAGTTGAAAGTAAAGAGAAATCTCTGATTAAGAAAACTTCTTCTCTCTCTCTCTCTCTCTCTCTCTCTCTCAATCTTCCTCTCTCTCTTTCGAAGACTAGGAATACTGGGCATCTGAGCTTTGGAGAAAAATTCAACAGCCCTCACAGTAGCTTCTGACCACAATCCTCCCATTAACTGCCTATTCCAGTTATATATTGCTATGCAATGAACCAATCCAAAAGACAACACTTTAAAACAATAGCAATGATTGCATTATGCCACTGTAATCTCAATAGTTGGGTTCAGGAGCCCCCAGAGGCCCATGTCATGTCTGTTGAGTTTCCCCAGGTCCTCTGAAGGTTGCACACCTGCAGATAATTCTTGGACCCTGTAAAGCCATCATGATATAACCAGAGACCTCTGCATCTGTGAACAGCCCAGCCAGTTCACACAGCAAGGCAGATAAGCCTTCACAAAGCAAACACCATGAGTGCCTCCCCTTGCCAAGTTAAATATGCCTCGGTGTCAAAGTTCTCAATCTTAAATAACCAAAACACAAGGGTGCAGGCCTAAGGGCCTTCCTCTTAAGAAAATGGAAAGGACTCCTGGAATCATAAAGAATAGCTGCCAACTGTTACGAAGCCTTACCAAGTACAGTCAGAATTCCAAGCACCTTACGTGTATTACCTAATAAGTTTTAAAACAATCCCATAAGCCTCTCTTTATAAATGTGGGAACTGAGGCACAGAGAGATAAGTAAATTGCCTAAAAAGTCACACGACTAACGAGTGATGAGGTAAGATTTGAATTCAGGCTGTACAGAGTTGTTGAATATTCAGTTGTGTTGAGCTAGTAATCAGCAAGCTTCACTGGATGTCAACCATGTAGAACAAGAGGGATACACAGAATGAGTCAAAAGAGAAAATGTGAAAACCCTCTTGGCCCTTGACCTGTTTCCTCCCTACTTCCAGGCATCCCCAGGATGGAGAAACAGGCTAGACTTGGTGATGGACTGGGAAGGTGGTCAGAGTTCTTCATCCCTTCCTCCTGTACACACACCCTTTGCAATGTGATCTTGCAGCTCCTTCCATCAAGAAGTGGAGTTTATTTCTCCACCTCTTGAATCTGAGCTAGACATGGTATGACTTGATTTGGTCATTAAGTGTGGTAACAGCAACATCTTTGAACAACTCAAAGCCAGCTGTCCCCCAAGTATGTAAAGGACCCAGCCAAGATTAGTGGCACTGCCTACTCAACCCACTGTAACCACAGAGGCATGAGTAAATCCAGCCAAGACCAGAAGAACCACCCAGCAAACTCAGATTTTTGAGCATGGATAAATGCTTTAATTCAGTGCTTTAAGCCACTGAATTGGTGATTGTTTGTTATGCAGCAGTAGCTAACCAATACAGGAACCCAAGCCAGGCCTGGAATTCAGAGACAGCAGCACCTGTTGCACTCACTGTTACTATTCTTTAGCACACAGCACCAGGTTCGAGCATACCCTTTCCTAAGACAATGAGGAAACTCCGTGCATCAGTCAATATACACTGTGCTCCAATGCACTGGCTCCTGTTTAAATGCTCTAGGGG